>NT_187377.1:0-194050 GCF_000001405.40 Homo sapiens | reverse complement strand
GATCTAAAATAAAGGAAAAAAGGAGCAGATTAAACCCAAAGTAAGAATAGGAAAATAAATTGTTGCAGAAATCAATGAAATTGAAAACAGAAAAATCAAGAGAATATTATTAACAACAAAGCTGATTCTTTTAAAATATTATTAACAACAAAGCTGCTTTTTTAAAAAGCTGGTTCTTCAATAAAATTTAAAACCCTAGAGCCAGGCTAAGAAAAAAAAGGACAGAAACTAATAATATCAGAAATGAAAGAGGGGATACCACTACACATCCTGTGGACATTAAACGGATAATGAGGAAATACTATGAACAACTCTGTGCACACATCTGATCATCTAGTTCAAATGGACCGCTTCCTTGACAGACACAATTTACTGAAACTCACACAAGAAGAAACACACAATCCGAATAACCTATTATTTTAATAACCTTCAAAACAGAAAGTACCTGATCGGGATGTATTCATTGGGAAATTGACCAAATATTTCAGGAAGAAATTATACCCATTCCCCACAATCTATTTCAGATGATAGAGGCTGTTGGAATGCTTCCTAGTTCATTATGTGAGGCCAGAATTATTCCAAAGACATTTCAAAATAGAAAACCACAGACCATTATCTCTCATGAAAATACATACAAAAATCCTCAAAAACACTAGTACATCGAATCCAACAATATATAGAAAGAATCATACACCATCACCAAGTGGGATTTATTCTGGAGATAGCAGGCTGGTTCAACATTTGAACATCAATTAATGTAATTCATTACATCAAGAGAGTGAAAAGGAAAAATCACATGATCAGGTGCACAAAAAGCAGTTGACAAAATCCAGCATTCATTCATGATAAAATCTCTCAATAAGCTAAGAGGGGAACTTCCTGAAATTAATAAAGAATATCTACAGAAAACTACAGCAAACATCATAATTAATAATGAGAAACTCAAAGCTTTTCCACAATATCAGGAGGAAGAAAAAGATGTATTCTCTCAGCATCCCTTTCAATATCATACTGAAAATACTAGCTAATGCAATGAGTCAAGAAAATACAATTAAAGGCATATAGATTGGGAAGGAATAAATAAAACTTTGTTCACAGATGACAGGATTGTCTATGCAGAAAATCTAAAAAATTTAAAAAAAAAGAAAGAAAAAAGAAAAACGACCAAACCGAAAAAAAAACCCTCCTGGAACTGAAAAGCAAGATCACAGAATACAAGATTAAAAGAGAAAGTCAATCACTTTCCAATGCACCAACAACAACCAAGTGCAATTTGCTATGAAAACACAGTACTACTTATATTTAGCACCCAACAGATGAAACACTTAACGTATAAATTTAGCAAATGTAACAAGATCTATATGAGGAATACAATAACACCTTAATAAGCAAAATAAAAGTAAACCTGATTCTAAAGTTCACATGGAGAAGCAAAAGGCCAAGAATAGTCAATCACTGAAGAACAAAGTTGGAAGACAAACACTGCCTAACTTTAAGCCTTATTCATTAATCAAAACACTGTGTTATTACCCAAAAGTAGGCAAAAATAACAATGGAACAGGATAAATAGCCCAGAAATACACCCACCTAAATACACTAAACTGATACAATAAAGCAAAGTTGCTGTTTTCAACAAATGGCATGGGGACAACTAGAAATCCACATTAAAAAAAAAAAACCTGAATCTAGACATAGATCTTATGCCCATCACAAAAATTAACTCAAAATGGGTCACAGACTTCAATGTAAAATGCGAAAGTTATAACTGTAGAAAATAACAAAGGAAAAAACTTAGATTATCCTGGGAAAGGTAATGACTTTTTAGATATAACACCAATGTCAAGATCCATTTTAAAATGATTCATAAACAAGACTTCATTAAAATTGAAAACTTCTGTTCTGCAAAAGCCAATGTCATGAAAATGAGAAGAAAAGCCACAGATTGGGAGAAAATATTTGCAAAAGACACACCTGAGAAAGGGACTGTTCTACAAAACATCTGATAAAGAGACTTACACAAAACATCTGAGAAAGAGACCGTTCTACAAAACTTCTGAGAAAGACTGTTATACAAAACATCTGATAAAGAGACTGTTACACAAAACATCTGAGAAAGAGACTGTTATACAAAACATCTGAGAAAGAGACTGTTACACAAAACATTACAAAAACTCTTAAAACTCACATCTGATAAAGAGACTGTTACACAAAACAATCCAAAAACTCTTAAAACTCACATCTGATAAAAAGGCTGTCACATAAAATACTCCAAAAACTCTTAAAACTCTACAGTAAGAAAACCACCTAATAAAATAGACCAAAAACCTTAACAGATACCTCACCAATGATGAGAAACATATAGGAAATAAACATATAAAAGAATGCATTATATTGTGTAACATTAGGGTAACATATTAAAACAATGAGATACCGCTACATACCTAGTAGAATGGCCATAATAAAGAGCACTGACAACAACTGACAGTGAGAATGCAGAGCAACAGGAACTCTCATTCAGATTGTGGAAATGCAAAATGGTACAGTCACTCAGTTGGCGGACAATTTGGTTGTTCTTACAAAAGTAAACATATTCTTACCATATGATCCAGCAACTGCACCTCTTGGTATTTACCCAAAGGAGGTGACAATAAACACTAGCATAAAAACCTGTAAACAGAAATTTATAGCAGCTTTATTCAAAATAACTAAAATTTGGAAGCAACCAAGATGTCCTTCAGTAAGTGAATGAATAAACTATGGTACACACAATGGAACATAATTCAGCACTAAAAAGAAATGGGCTATCTTGTCCTCAAAAGATAAGGAGGAACCTTAAATGCATATTACTAAGTAAAATAAGGCAGTCTGAAAATGCTACTTACTATATAACTGCAACTATGTAACATTCTGCAAAATGATGGAGATGGTTTGCAGGGTTAGGAGGATGATGAGTAATAAACAGGAAGAGCAGGGATGACTTTTAGAACAAAGTGTTCTGTGAGGTACTATAAGACTGGATACATGTCATTATACATTTACTCAAACCCATAGCATGTAAAACCACAAGAGTAAACCCTAATGTAAACTATGGCCTTTGGACAACTGTGATGTCTCAATGTAGGTTCCTCATTTTAACAAAGGTACTACTATGGTGGGGGGAGGTTTTGAAAAGGGCGAAGGCTACATATATATGTGGATCACAGTATATGGGAAATCTATGTACTTCTTAATTCTGCTGTGAAATTAAAACTGCCTTAACTAATAAAGTATATTTATTTTTAAAAAGAATTTAACCATCTAAAAATGTTTTAATAATAAAAATTAAATCAATATTAAAAACCACTTCCCCATTTGTAATAAGAACTCTCAATAATAATGAATGTATAAAGAAAATGTGGTCTATACATGCAATGAAATATTACTCAGCCTTAAAAAGGAAGAAAATCTTGCCATTTGCCAAAACATGCACATACCAGAAAGATATTGTGCTAAGAAATAAGCAAAACAGGAACAAAGTATTACATAATCCCATCTGCAATAGTCAGGATGTATGTATTCCCCTCAAATTCCTATGTTGAAATCTAATCACCAAGGTGATAGTATTAGAAGGTGAGGCTTCAGGGGAGTGATGAGGTGAGGGCTCTTCCCTCTCGAATGGACTGGGAGTGCATTCATTCACTGACACTCTTTTGCCTTCCACCATGTAAGGATGCAGGATGAAGTCTCTCGTCAGGCACCAGATGACAGTGCCTTGATCTTGGACTTCCCAGCCTCCAGAACTGTTAAGAATAAATTTCTGTTCTTTATTAAATACCAAGCCTGAAGTATTTTGTTGTTCCAGCACAAATGAAGCCATACTTCCTGTACAGCCTGTGGAACTCCATGTATATAAAAATGTAAAACAGTTAAACTTACAAAGACATAGAGCTGAATCGTGGTTACCAAGGGCTGAGAGGGAAGGGTAACTGGGGAGGTATTTGTCACAGAGTATAAGTTTTAGTTATGCAATGAGTAAGTTCTAAATATGGAATCTACAGATCAAAGCATGTAGTTAATACGGAATTGCATATTTAAAAATTTGTTAAGAGGATGGTATGGTTTCAATCTGTTTACTTGCCCAAATCTCATGTCAAATTCTAAGCCTCAAGGCTGGAGGAGGGGCCTGGTGGGAGGTGACTGGATCAAGGGGCAGACTTGCCCCTTGCTGTTCTCGTGTTAGTAAATTCTCATGAGATCTGGTTGTTAAAGGTGTACAGCACCTCCCCTTTCACCACTCACTTCTGCTCCAGATACATAGAACGTGCCTGCTTCCCCTTCATCTTACACCATAACTGTAAGTTTCCTGAGGCCTCCCCAACCATGCTTCCTGTACAGCCTGTGGAACTGTGAGCCAATTAATCCACTTTTTTTATAAATTACCCAGTCCGAGGTAGTTTTTTATAGCAATGAGAGAACGGACTTATGCAGAGAATATATGTTATGTCAAATGGTTGCATCCCAAAAGGGGCGGGGAGGGGGGGAGGGAGAATTTCGTGGAGGCAAAAGTTGTTTATTGCACTGTTTGTGGTGACAGTTCCATGGGTGAATACTTACCTCTACAGGTAAGTATATTTTGCATGTGGGAGGAATGTAAATAATTTGTAGCCAGAGGGAAAACTGTGGTTTATTAAAGACTGCTACAGATTCTCACTATTCCTTTTATTGAGAGGTAGAAGCTAATTACTCTGTAATCTAAAACCGTGTGTAAAGGAAGAGAGAAGGTTGTAATTTTATTTTAGATTTGTTAAGCTTGAAGTGCCTTTCGGATAGCTACAAAGAATCATTTAATGGAGAGTTGAACCTGTGGTCTAGAGCAGTGATACCCAACCTTTTTGGCACCAGGTTTTGTGAAAAATTTTTTCCATATACCAGGGTGTGAGGGGGGATGGTTTTGGGATGAAGCTGTTCATCAGGCATTAGATTATCATAAGGAGCAGGCAACCTAAATCCCTCACATGCATAGTTCACAATAGGGTTCATGCTCCTATGAGAATTTAATGCTGCCATTCATCTGACAGGAGGCAGAGTGCAGGCAGTAATGTTTGCTTGCCTGACATTCACTTCCTGCTGTGCAGCCCAGTTCCTCACAGGCCACAGACTGGACCGGTCCATGGCCTGGGGGTTGGGGATCCCTGGTCTAAAGGTCGGAGAAGTCCATGCTGGAGATAAACACAACTGCTACACCACAGAGAGCAGAACTGGTAAAAAAAAAACAAACAAACAAACAAACAACAACAAAAAAAGAACTGCACAGTGGGATGGGTGGGGAATTGGATGAAACAATTGGATAAGCTATGTAAAGAAGAAGTAGAAGAATTCAGGAAAAAAAGACAAGCAGCATCAGTGAGGTCATGATAGAAACTAACACAGAAGATTTCCAGGAGAAGATCATGAACAATAATTTGAAATGCAGGAGTCCCCCTTTATCCATGGGGGATACATTCCAGGTCCCCTAGCAGATCCGTGAAACTGTGTATAGTACCAAACCTTATATACACTATGTTTTTTCCTATATATACATACCCTTGACAGTTTAATTTATAAATTAGGCACAGTATGATATTAACAACAATAAAATGGAACAACATACTATACTAAAAGTTATAGGAATGTGGTCTCTCAAAATATCTTATTCTACTGTATTCAACACATTCAAAATAATAAAATATTCAAGATATTCAAAATATCTTATTGTCTTTTCTGTCTACAGTTGACTACAGGGAACTGAAACCACAGAAAGCAAAACTGTGGATAAGGGGGATTACTGTACGGCATAAGATTCAAGTAAGGCAGACTGGAGAATAGCCATTGGAGTTGCATATAATTTAGGTTAATGGTGAGCATTAGAATAAACCAATTAAGACTACACTGAATGAAAGTGCAAGTGAATAGTGGACATATTTGTCAGAAAATACAATTGTGAACAATCTGCTATAAATTCTCCATGTATAGATGAATTGACAGAAACGTATGGGGGGTTAGTTAAGGACCTGTGGTCAACTCAATCCTCCAGATGTTCTAGGTTTTAGCCATGAATCAAGTAGGGCCTTCCAAAAGCTGTCTGGGACTGCAAAGTTTTAGCAACTCCAGAAAAACCTCATTACGGGAGTTATGCTTTAGCACTAAGTGACTCTTTCTACTGCAAAATGCTAAAAGTATTTATTTCCAGGTTGGCAGTAAAAAAAACTTTTCACTACATCATCTCTGTGACCAATGCAGTCAGTGTTCCAGACTTTGGTGACAGCAAGTCTTCCTGTCCCATGAGAATGCAGCATGCACTCCTTCCAGGTTCCATTCCAATCATGTAACAAACGTGACTGCCTTTTTGTTGCAGCATCAGAAAGACCAGAGACACATTTGTACTCCAGTTCCATGGCTTATAACCTGCATATGTCTACATGCCAGCATTATTTTATTTATGTGCATTTCCTTTGACGTGAATTTTACTTATTTCTATTTTTTCATTTTAATCCGTGGACTCCATAAAGGCAAAAAATACAATGTAAAACAAAGAGAGGAATATATAAACAAATGACTCACAAGAGATTTGTTCATCTTTTGTTGATTGTGGAAATGCACAGAGCACTCTGGAAACATAGCTGGGAGAACAGTCGAATGGAGTGGGTTAAAGCAGAGAACCGGTGTGGCTTGGTCCTAGATTCTCTTGCCCAAAACGCTCTACACAATAGCTGGAAAAGACTAAAACAACAACAAAACCTCCCTGTGACAGAATAGTCATTCATGCCTCAATAAGGGACAACAAATATGCCACTGAAAATGTACCCACAAGTACATTAATTAGTAGAGATACATACAATTTATTTTGGGATTAATGAAAACATGTATTACCTACTGATTTAGGGACAATTAATTTATCCAAAGAAACAATGTAATAACTTAAACCAAAGAAATATACATTTAGTCTTCAATGAAATTAATACTGTAGAAATATAATTCAGCTGCATTAACAATTTCACTACTAATATGGAGATTCTACATGATTCCATATAGGTGTTTCCACTAGAATATATCTTGCTTTTATACCTTCGCATCATTGAAAGGATTCATGTTTTATATATCTACGTATCACTGAAAGGATGCATCTTTTATATACCTAAGCATCATTGAAAGGATGCATCTTTTATATACCTACGCATCATTGAAAAGATGCATCTTTTATATACCTACGCATCATTGAAAGGATGCATCTTTTATATACCTGCACATCATTGAAAGGATGCATCTTTTATATACCTAAGCATCATTGAAAGGACGCATCTTTTATATACCTAAGCATCATTGAAAGGATGCATCTTTTATATACCTAAGCATTATTGAAAGTATGCATCTTTTATATACTTAAGTATCATTGAAAGTATGCATCTTTCATACACTTACACATCATTGAAAGGATGAATCTTTTATATACCTAAGCATCGTTGAAAGGATGCATCTTTTATATATCTACTTATTATTGAAAGGATGTATGTTTTATATACCTAAGCATCACTGAAAGGATGCATCTTTTATATACCTACTCATCATCGAAAGGATGCATCTCTTATATACCTATGCATCATAGAAAGGATGCATCTTTTATATCTCTAAGCATCATTGAAAGAATGCATCTTGCAGCCCAACATTTTCTGCCCACGATTATATAGGGGGAAAAATGTACATAGTGTATATTTCTTGGGATATACTGTTTTAGTAATGTTTCTTAGTGACAAGTCTCCCAGTATCTAAGACTTCATAGAGTGTGCTCTGATAATGAATGGGGTTCTGCCATTTGAGTTGCTTCGGCCAATGGGACATAGAAAATATGATGAAAATATAGGTTGGAAAAGTACTTGCCCACTGGTGCTTGCCTTCTTGGACAAGTGTCAGCATGAACCACCAGACATGTGAGTGAAGGCACCAGATGACTAAAGCCTCATTTGTGATCCAGACAACATTAGCAAAGGAAATGCCCAGGTGAACACAAGCTAAAATGTGAATCAACAGAACTTCTATCAAATAAAATGGTCACTTCTTTTTAAGCCATTGAGTTTCGTTAGTTCTTTAGACAGAAAACAGTAACTGATACACCTAAGCCACCAGAACTCAATGTTTTTAAGAAAATCATGTGAAGGAGATAATGTGAAATTACTTGTCAAATACAATCACTAGAACGTCACAACCTCATGTAGAAGTTTTGCAAATCACAATAAATGCCAACTTGATGGAAATCAGTGAGACTGCTGGTTCTAAGAGACCATGTTAATCATAAAAAGCTACTCTTTGCATATTAGTAAATTGTGTTTTAAAGTTCTTTACATCATAAAAATGTCTGTTGACTTTAAAAAAACATAATACACAAAAAGGATCTCTTACGAGTGAGCATTGTACGGTATTTTACTTACATTTTAAGATACTGGTTGGAATAGAAGTGAGACACTGTCTAATATTCCCTTTTTAAGTATGTAAAATATGCTATTGTTTTCCTACAGAATTTATAATTTCCAAGAACAGATTACTGACACTGAGCAGGAAACACTTGTTATTTGTCCTTGAGGTCACATAATTCACAGAAAGAGTTGGGGATAAAAAGGAACAGAGATGGTTAAGGAAATGTTTCTGCTTGGTTGGTTGGTTGGTTTTGAGACAGAGTCTCATTCTGTCACCCAGGCTGGAGTGCAGTGGCACAACCACAGCTCACTGTAACTTCACCCTCCTGGGCTCAAGTGATCTTCCCACCTCAGCCCCCCAAGTAGTTGGGGCCACAAATGGATGCCACCACAACCAGCTAAAATTTTTTTTTTTTTTTGTAAGCACATTGGGTCTCCCTATGTGGCCAAGGCCAGTCTCAAACTCCTGGGCACAAGCGATCCTCCTGTCTTGGCCTCCCAAAGTGCTATGATTATAGCTGTGAGATACTACGCCCGGCAAGGGAAAGTACTTTATTATTATTTTTTCCAGCGTGAGGGGTGGGCAGGCAGGGAGGGGCTGAGAAAGTACTTTAAAGCAATATTTGTTCTTAGTTGACTTCAGTGTCAACAAAAATCTAAAAAAAAAAAAAGTTTTGACTTAATTGGGGCAAAATGAATAACACTAGCCAAAAAGTCAGGATGCATAACATCTGTATATCATGTGACCCTGGCAAGTCACAGCTCCTCAAAGCCAAATTTTTTCCATCATTCTCACAAGGTAGAAATAGTTTGGCTAACCCTTACTGAACTACCAGGAAAAGCTACCAGGTTAGAGGGAGCTTCAGCATATCACTGAATGCTAAATTTAGTGACTGGACGCTAAATTTCGTGACAGAACTTTTTTTTTTTTTTGAGAGACAGAGTCTCACTCTGTTGCCCAGGCTAGTGTAGGGTGGCACAATCTCGGCTCACTGCAACCTCCGCCTCCCCAGTACAAGTGATTTTCTTGCTTGAGTTTCCCAAGTAGCTGGGACTATACAGGTGTGCACCACCACACTCAGGTAATTTTTGTATTTTTTAGTAGAGACAAGGTTTCACTATATGTTGGCCAGGCTGGTGTCGAACTGCTGACCTCAGGTGATCCTCCTGCCTTGGCCTAGACTACTTTTAAGAAAGTTCAGCCACTGGAAACAGTGAGAAAAGGTTGAAGGAATGAAAGTGTCTTTACAGAGTACTCCAGACAGATCCTCTCAAGTATAACAGGATATTTTTCCACCGAAGACCAAACTATTAAGTCCCCTCCAACAAGTAACATCTCTTTGGCCCTTGCCTGTCATTCACAGCCAAACTCCCCTCTTCCTTCTGAATGTTGGTCTAAACCTTCCACTACCACCCAGTGTTTGAGAGCTATTGGATAAGGTCTTATCAACCAAATCTGGGCCATTCTGGGGAGTGGGAAAATAACTGCTTGGGTCATACAAACTGGAATCTTCACCTGTGACACCTCCTCTGCTTTGAAGTACCAGTGAGAGGGTTAGTCCAAAGAGGTGTTCTTTTTGGTGGGATTCCTAAAAGGCGCCCACCTCGAAACTTTGTAACACCTACTTTATTACAAAGAAAACAGGACCATCATCTAGGACCCCCAACTTCCCTAGAAACCAGATCTTGTATAAACTCCTATAAACTAAAGCGGGGATGGGATGCGTAGGAAGGTGACACAAGCAGAATCTTCACTTGCTGAAAACACACCGGGAAACCCTACTAATACACTCGCCAGGTAGTAGGATTGTGTGCACGCACTTCGTACTCCTCGTCTGGGAATGAGGGGCATCTCCCTACAACTGTCCGTATGCTGACCTTACAAGGGCGTGCACGGAATGCCACACAAGGTCCATGCAGTGCCAGAGCGCAGCCTCCCCGCAGACCTCCCAGGCTCGGCCAGCCTGCAGACCCCGTCCCTGCGCCACCGGCTTCACCCACCCACTCCGGTGTCTCTGGAACTGGCTTCAGTACTGGGATCCCACGCCCGCCCTCCCAGCAGCGCCACCCTTTCAGCCCCAGCCTGGGTCCGCGGCCCGCACCTGTGCGTCAGGCCCCGTCCCCTGAGATGTGCCCACGCCTCTGCTCCCACCAACTGTGGCACGTCAGCCCCGCCTCCCTATGGTGCCTCCAAGCCCGCTGTCTCCTGTTTCATCCTGCCACCAACCTGCAGGGATGAAGACCCCAATGCCAGAGCTTCCAGAGCAGCCTCTCCATTGCAGCAGGAGCCGGGATTCTCTGGCGGAAGATGGCGTGCATAGGCGGGGTGGCACATGCGCAAAGAGCCCTTCCCGCCGCCCTGTGCTGGTGACGTCATTGGAAGCCGAGACTGCATTTCCCACGAGACATTGCGGTATTGAGGCGGGAAATTCTGTTCCAAGCGGGAGCGGAGGATGGATCGGGATTGGTGTCTATCCGCCTGACTGAGGTGGAATCTGGTTACTAAATCCTGGTTTGACAACCAGGCACATTGCGGGAATGTTGGGAAAATTCGAATGTGGGCCAACTAGTCAATTATATTGGCAAGTAATCTTACTTTTTTTTTTAGTTCTAAGTGTTGCTGTCACAGAAAAAACTTTTTTTTTTCTTTTTAAACGGATTCTCCCTCTGTCTCCCAGGCTGGAGTGCAGTGGTGGGATCTCAGCTCACTGCAGCCTCCACCTCCCAGGTTCAAGTGATTCTCCTGCCTCAGCCTCCAGAGGAGCTGGGACTACAGGCATGCGCCACCACGCCTGGCTAATTTTTGTATTTTTAATAGAGATGGGGTATCCCCATGTTGGCTAGGTTGGCCTTGAATTCGTGGCCTCAAGTGATCTGCCCACCTTGGCCTTCAAAAGTGCTGGAATAGAGGACTCGAGAGACTAGAGAGACCTATATGGAGAACAGGACGATTGTTTATTTTAGGGTATGTAGGGTCCAGCCCCACAGGGTTGGTGGGTTTTCTCCTCGTGTGCAGAGACAAGAGAGCATAGAAATAAAGACACAAGACAAAGAGATAAAAGAAAAGACAGCTGGGCCCGGGGGACCACTACCACCAAGACACGGAGACTGATAGTGACCCCAAATGCCAGGCTATGCTGATATTTATTGGATACAAGACAAAGGGGCAGGATAAGGAGTGTGAGCCATCTCCAATGATAGGTAAGGCCACATGGGACATACGTCCACTGGACAGGGGGCCCTTTCCTGCCTGGCAGCCAAGGCAGAGAGAGAGAGAGGAGAAAGAGAGAAACAGCTTACATTATTATTTCTGCTTATCAGAGACTTTTAGTACTTTCACTAATTTGCTACTGCTAACTAAATGGCAGAGCCAGGAGTACAGGATGGAACATGAAGGTGGACTAGGAGAATGACCACTGAAGCACAGCATCACAGGGAGATGGTTAAGCCTCTGGATAAAGCGAGTGGGCCTGGCCCTCCACAAGAGGTGGAGGAGTAGAGTCTTCTCTAAACTACCTGGGAAAAGGGAGACTCCCTTTCCCTGTCTGCTAAGTAGCAGGTGTTTTTCCTTGACACTAACGCTACCGCTAGACCATGGTCCGCTTGGCAACTGGCGTCTTCCCAGACGCTGGCATTACCACTAGACCAAGGAGCCCTCTGGTGGCCCTGTCCAGGTGTAACAGAAGGCTTGCACTCTTGTCTTCTGGTCGCTTCTCACTATGTCTCCTCAGCTCCTATCTTTGTATGGCCTGGTTTTTCCCAGTTTATGATTATAGAGCGAGGATTATTATAATATTGGAATAAAGAGTAATTTCTACAAACTAAAGATCAATAATATTCATATATAATCATATCTAAGATCTATATCTGGTATAACTATTCTTATTTTATATTTTATTATGCTGGAACAGCTCGTGTCCTCAGTCTCTTTCCTCAGCACCTGGGTGGCTTGCTGCCCACAGGGTATGCACTGGATTCATGGATTCATATCTAAAAAGCTGAGCATTGAACAAAGACTGAGCGGGGCTTTTCTAAGCAAATTTACAGAAGCGAAACAAAAACAGTTAATCATACAGTGACAGGTCACGTAATCTATAGCATAACTGTTGACTTGGCATAACTTGTGGCCTTGCATAGCTAGTGGCCTTGTAGCTGCATCAAAAGAAAAATAAGAACTGGCTAAATACAGAAATTTGTAAAACATCATCATGCTTAAGAAGTCAGGGAAAGAAATAACAGTAAAGGAATTTGTCTTTCTCTCTTGCTTTTTTTTTCTTTTAACTTTGCTCTGGAAGTGGGGGTGGTCTGGAGCCTATTCCTCTGGCCTTGGCTTCTCTAACAGTGTTATAACTGTCTTTGAAGTGAGCTTACTAGGCAGAGGAAAACTTGTTCTTTTCTTTTTAACCTTTGCTTTGCCTGTTGCTTTTCTTGGAGTGAATGAATGCATATTTATTTTTAAATTTCTGCCTCAGTTTCCTCCTTTTGATGCCTTTTATAAAAGAATTTTAGTAGAAGGCATCACTATTACTTAATTCTGCCTGAAGAGACAAGTTTTCTTCTTTAGGCACAGGCTGATATTTATATAGATCCATTAGCTGAGTGGTAGTTTGCCTAGCTACTGTTGCCTCTATAGCTGATTGAGTGCTTCTAACAAGGAGGGTTAAGAGGCAAGGGAGTATTGGGCAAACCCTTAGTATGGCCAGGACTATTCTTATTAAAGTCTTGAATCCACTGAAGGAGGAAAACCAGCCTCCAAAGAGGGAATCTGAAGACTACCTTTTCCAAGTTTGAACTGGAACATGGGGTAATTCTCTCATTCTTGCAGTTATTTCTATAA
Organism: Homo sapiens; assembly: GCF_000001405.40. Classification (NCBI taxonomy): domain Eukaryota; kingdom Metazoa; phylum Chordata; class Mammalia; order Primates; family Hominidae; genus Homo; species Homo sapiens. The sequence goes on along the minus strand of NT_187377.1, from coordinate 180,787 downwards.
TTGCCTTTCCATTGTCATCAATTTCCAGGCAGAAATTAGTTAGATTTAACTTTCCACATACCCCTGCTTCCTGGGCTAGGAGGTAGTCTAAAGTTAATCTGTTCTGATAAATAGCATTCTTCATTTTTGTGGCTTGCTGGGCCATTAAATCTAATGCATTTGCTGTTTCATTAGTGATCCTTTGCTGCCTGCAAACTTATGATGTGGCTAAGCATGTAAATAGGAGTGCAGTACCCTCATGACCTATCTTTTGCCTAGGTAGCTGGCCTATAGTATTGCATTATTCTTTCAGGGGGCCAATCTGTGTCTTTCTAATTTCTTTTTTCTATATCCCTTTTTATGTCTGCATCTCTTTTGCTTCTTCTTCTAACTTCATCATAGACGGGATACCTTAAAGTTTCTCCCTGTTGCAGTGGGAGTAGGAAGAAAGATGGTCTAATTGTTTCAAACACACAGGACTTTGTCCATTTAGCTGGCAACTGTCGATATGCCTGTGGCTTACAGATGCCAATAAAGACCAAGGGGTGCTTTCCAAGTATTTGGAGCTTCAAGTTGATACCAGGTGTGGTTTAGAGGAGAGAAACAGGAGAATGGATTTGGATGAGGTGCTTTGGAGTCATCTCTGCCTCGCCACAAAATTTTCTTTAGTGTTTCATTATAATATTGCTGTCCTAAGCAGGTTAGTTCTCCTACTGCGTCTGTAAAAGCCTTTCTTCAGGGAGCAACACAGTATCTCCTGATAATAGAAGTTTTAAGAGCTAGACACTTGAACTTGTGGGCATCAGTTCAGGGGAAGAGTCTGTTAGAGTTAAATTATCTTGTGGCATTAACTCTTTTGCTTCCTAAGGCCATTGGTCTCCTACGTTAGTCTTTCTACAAACATAACGAAATGCCTAGGCTGCCAGCAGTGTTTTCAACCAGCTAAGCACACAGGTTTTTGGCTAAAGGAGTAGGCTCTGGTAACTTCTGGTCTACATGCTTATAGAATGATTTAAAGAGTTGAAACTGTTGCTGGGCTGGATGGTTCTGGGTTCTTTTTTGATAACATATAGGTAGATTGCTGGGTATGTGTGTATATACATATGTATGGGGTAACCTGCAGTCTACATGGGTAAGTCTAGATTTAGAATGGTGAAATTTATAGAATTACAGGTTTTTCCTTCACAATCTGGTTTCACCGGCATTTTGGTAAGCATAATTGACCTTTGCTGTGTGCTAGGGTGCTACAATATGCAATGCCAACAATCTTTTTCTGGGGTCCTAGGGGAACAAGGTGGAGTTACTCTTGGCATGCATACGTATTTGTAGTCATTTCTATAGTATCTTTCTAAAGGTAGGTTACCACAGACAGGGGAGTCTTGGTCTGCTGCCTGACAAGCATCAAAATACAGAGAAATAGGCCCTTGGTAAAAGGGAGGGACCCTGGTTTGGTTTAAGAGGGGACCATCCTTTGATCCCGCATGATGAGTCTCTTGGCAATATTTCTTCAGTAGCTGCTTGAGCGTCTGGTTCATGTGTTCTACTTTTCTTGAACTTTGCAGCCGGTAGGCTGTGTGTAACTTCTATTTTATTTTTAACAGTCTTGTTAAATCTTGCACTATTTCAGTTACAAATGCTGGCCTATTGTCTGACTTTAAAGTTAGAGGCTGTCAAAACCTGGGGATAATGTCTTTTAGTAGTACTTTAGTCACTTCTTGTGCTTTTTCTGTCCTGGTGGGGAAAGTCTCAACCCATCCTGAAAAAGTGCAAATAAACGCTAGCATATACTGATAGCCTCTGGCATGGGGCATTTTGGTAAAGTCCATAAGCAAGTTTTCACAAGGCACGAAGGCATGGCTCCTTCTCCTGTTCAGTTTCTTAGAGGAGGGGTTCTTTTTTTCTCTCTCTCTTTTTCTTTTTTTGTAATTTCATATAATGGCTTAGCCATCAGTGAGAAATTTATAATCTAGATACAGCAGAATCTTGCTGCTTTCAACTTCTCAAGTGACGATGGGCTCTTGGAGGCCTAATGAGAAGGAGCATGGTCTGTTTTAGTCCTCACATCTTTCAGCTCCTGCTAGCCTGATCAGATCAGTATCTGGTTCCTCTAAGGTGTGGCAGCCTTTGGCCAATGGCCTCTTTGTCTCACGGCCTTGGCCATTTCTTTCATTGCCTTCTGGACATTCATCTTTCTAGTGTCCTTTCTTTTTGCATCTCGCACACTGATACTTCTCTAGCCTTGGTCAACTTTCAAATCCTTGTCTAACTTGACTTCTTCTACATCCAAGTCTGCGTCCACGTCAAATTACATTGCTAATCTCTTTTTCTATAAGGGCTGCTGCCAACAGATCTTAAGCCTCCAATTTGCTTCTTTCTTTGCCTCCTGGTCACTGTTAACATACACTTTGGTGGCTACTTCTACAAGCTGGGTGACATTCATACCTGCAAAACTTTCTATCTTTTCTTTCTTTCTTTCTTTCTTTCTTTCTTTCTTTCTTTCTTTCTTTCTTTCTTTCTTTCTTTCTTTTCTTCTTCTTCTTCTTCTTCTTCTTCTTCTTCTTCTTCTTCTTCTTCTTCCTCCTCCTCCTCCTCCTCCTCCTTCTTCTTCTTCTTCTTCTTCTTCTTCTTCTTCTTCTTCTTCTTCTTCTTCTTCTTTCTTCTTCTTCTTCTTCTTTTCTTCTTCTTCTTCTTCCTCTTTTCTTCTTTCTTCTTCTTTTCTTCTTCTTTCTTTTTTTTTGGACGGAGTTTCGTTCTGTCGCCCATGATGGAGTGCAGTGGCACGATCTTGGCTCATTGCAACGTCTGCCTCCTGGGTTCAAGCAATTCTCTTCCTCTGCCTCCCAAGTAGCTGGGATTACAGGCACCACCACCACACCTAGCTATTTTTTTTTGTATTTTTAGTACAGACGGGATTTCACCATCTTGGCCAGGCTGATCTTGAACTCCTGACCTCGTGATCCACCTACCTTGGCCTCCCAAAGTGCTGGGATTACAGGCGTGAGCCACCGTGCCCAGCCAAAACTTTCTAACTTCTTAGGCTTTAGTTTAATATCACTTTGGGCCTGTCCTACAAGTGACGTATTCACTATACACTGATTTTCAGTGGCCTCAGGGTCAAACGGGGTGAAAGCCTGTATGCCTCACAGAATCTTTCATAAAACTGGTTAGGGCTCTCAACACTTCCTTGAAGCACTTCTGAAATCTTCTTTATATTAATGGCTTTCTTTCCATCATCTCAGCCTTTGCAGAAGTGCCTCTTGGTACCTCTGCACATGCTGAAGCTGAGTTGCATCCCCTGGGTCCTAGTAAGGCTCTTGGTCTGGGAACTGATCTTGAGTGTATGCCTGAGCATGCACTGCATCTGCATTATGCCTGAGCATGCACTGTGCCTGCTGATGCCTGGGCTCCTAGCCAGCGTCTGGGAACTGACCTTGAGTGTGTGCCTGAGCATACACTGTCTGCTGATGCCTGGGCTTCTAGTCAGTGGAGAGCTTCCTGGCTTACTCTCCTTCATTCCTCAGTGTTAATGTGAGGAGGAGCTGCTGGCAGTCTGGTCAGCTTGGATTGTGTGTCAGAAAGATGGGTTGCATCAGATCTATAGGAGCTTGAGGCTTCTCCGTGTAGGAGGGAGTATGCTGTTTCCTGTTTAAAAGATCAGTGGTTGAAAAGGGCTGACTGATGAAAGTCCATTGCCTTGTTTGGACTTGGCCTTGGTCATCATAATAAATGGGTCCTCACGTCTCCTAGAGAGGCATTTGCAGAGCTTGAGCACCGCCAGATCTGAGACAGCCTGCTTGACTATCTTGAATTCCTTCCCTGACCTCTCAAAGCTCTGATCCTCCCTTTTGGGGTGACACTTGGGGCATGCTGGCTCTTAAGTCTGGCTCCTGGGGGACTGTTGGACTCAGTAAAGGGGGGTAGGCTGGGACATGTGGAGGACGAATCTCTGTTCTTTCTGGCAGCTCCTGTAAAACTGACTTTTCTTGCTCTCTTTGGGACTTCTTTAACTCTGTGTCTGCCAGTGAAGCTGCTCTTACTTTCACTCTTGGCTGGGCTCAGGCCACACGTGTTTCAAAATAAACTGCTAAACAGGGCTGGATCCAGGCTGGTCTTGTCTGTGCTATATTTAACCACGAATCAATATAAGGAAATTGATCTGGATGCCTTGGGTGTCCTCTGACTCTTGTCACCACCTTAAATACACAGTCAATTATTTCCTTATCTATAGTACCTTCGGTCGGCCATCTAACACTAAAAGGCCATTCTAATTCACAGAGAGTTCTCAACCTCTGTGGGGATAGCTTAACTACATAGTCCTCTGCAAAACCTTTCTTAAAGTTCTGTAACATTCACTCTAACAGGGTAAGTTTTGATGACTTTCTTCCTATTCTTTCTTTTATGGCACAGCACACTCTTTCCTCTCATTTCGGCCTAGTGTACCATCTCCTATTATGGGAGTTTTCAGAGGCTGCTTGGCTTTGGAGAGTTCCTTATTCCTGCTACAACTCTGAGCTGTAGGGCAGTTCTTATTAGCCATATGCAGATCGCTACTGTTTGTAGTCGGCCTTACACTTTGCTCGGAGCACACAGTCTATGATAAGAGATCTGTGACTCCTTACTTTGTGGCTGATGAGTTTAATTAGGTCTTTTCATTCACACACTTTCACTCACTTCTCTAATCCTAGTTCCTGTGTACCTAACTGGGGTGGCAAGCCACTCTCACCATGTCTAGTTTCTTTTTCTTAACTGAGTTAGCAAACCAGTCTCACATCTTGTGTTTGTTGGGGTGTGGGTTTCATCTGAATTGGTGAGCCTTTCTCACCGCCTTTAGCCTCTCTGGGTTGGACTATTAGGCACACCTTGGGAGGTGATCCAGCTCCTCTTCCATCCTTATGGGATGGGTCCTGCCTTGGGCCTTAAAACTTTACTGCAGTTCTTGAAGCGCACTGTTTCTGGAATCATCCTGGAGGCTTTCTTAAGGTTCTGTTGAGTGCTGGGTAGGGGCGCCGGGTCACGTGAAAGCTGATCTGCTCTCTGGGCTGAAGTTCTCCTGTTGGCGCCTGGGGCCACAGGTCTCCTGATGCCTGGGGCTCTAGCCCCTAGAGGCAAAGGAGACAGTAAACTTGCCATCTCCAATCCCTTCATGGTCGCCAAAAATGTTGCAGGGAACTGAGGACTAGAGAGACTGATATGGAGAACAGGAGGATTGTTTATTTAAGGTATGCTCCAGCTCAAGCATTTTTTTTCTTTTTTGAGATGGAGTCTGGCTGTGTTGCCCAGGCTAGAGCACAGTGGTGTAGTCTCAGCTCACTGCAACCTCCACCCCCTGGGTTCAAGCGATTCTTGTGCCTCAGCCTCCCAAGTAGCTGGTTTTACAGGCACACACCATCGCACCTGGCTAATTTTTGTGTTTTTGGTAGAGATGGGTTCTCACCATGTTGGTCATGCTGGTTTCAAACTCCTGACCTCAGGTGATCCACCCACCTTAGCCTCCCAAAGTGCTGGGATTACAGACATGTGCCACCATGCCTGGCCCACTTCTCCTTTTGTAATCTAGATGACTTACATTTATTTCTGTTGCCAAATTGTCCTGGCTAGCACCTCCAGCACAATGATGAATGGATGTAGTGAGAGTGGATTTATCTATCTTGTTCCTGATCTTAGGATATAAGTATACAGGCTTCCAACATTAAGTACTTTATTGGCTGTGGTTTTTCATATGCCCTTTATTAGTTTAAAGATGTTCCCTTCTTTCCTTCTTTGTTGAATATTTCATCATGAAAGGCTGTTGGATTTTGTTTCTGCAACTATTGAGATGACCATGGTTTTGCTTATTGTGTTGGTATAGTGTATTATATTAAATAATTGTTGACTGCTATCCAACCTTGTATACTTGGGATGAATCCAACTTGGTCATGAGGTATAATTATTTTTACATGTTGCTGTATTCTGTTTGTTTGCATTTTATTTTATTTTATTTATTTTATTTTTTGAGACAGAGTCTTGCTGTGTCACCAAGGCTGGGATGCAGTGGCAAGATCTCGGCTCACTGCAAGCTCCACCTCCTGGGTTCATGCCATTCTCCCTCCTGCCTTAGCTTCCTGAGTAGCTGGGACTACAGGTGCCCACCATCATGCCTGGCTAATTTTTTGTATTTTTAGTAGAGACAGGGTTTCACTGTGTCAGCCAGGATGGTCTCAATCTCCTGACCTCGTGATGCCCCCACCTCAGCCTCCCAAAGTGCTAGGATTACAGTCATGAGCCACCGCACCTGGCCTCTCTGTTTGCTTGTATTTTATTGAAGAGTTTTGCATCTGTATTCATAAGATATATTGGTCTGAATTTTTCTTTCCTCGTGATGTCTTTGTATGGCTTTGCTATCATGGTAATACTGGCCTCATAGAATGAGTTGGGGCATGTCCCTACCACTTCTATTTTTTGGAGAGTTTAAAAGAATTGATCCTAAATCTTCTTCAAATATTAGACAAAATTCACCAGTGAACTTTCTGGGCTAGGGCTTTTCTTGGTGTGGAGTTGTTTCTTTATTAATAATTCAAACTCTTTGCTTATTATGTCTAGTGAGAGCATTTTTTATTGCATCAGTGTCACTGGTTTGTGTCTAGAAATTTTTCCATTGTATCTAAGTTATCTAATATATTGGCCTACCATTGTTCATATTATTTTTCCTTAAATGTATTTTTCTTTTTGCAATGCTGCTAGTAATATATCCTCTTTCTTTTCTGATTTTAGTTACTTGAGTCTTCTCTCTATTTTTCTAGTCAGTGTAGAAAAATATTAGGAAAACTCCCTGTCAGAACTGAGCTATTCTACATAATGGAGAGGAAGCTCTCAGACCAAAGAAAGAGACAGACCACTCCAGGCTGGTAGATAGTCAAAGATTTATTCAGGAGGAACTTACTGGGATAGTCTTGGCAGCAGAAAGATGACACAGATCTCCACATTTGCAGTGCAGGCCTGTCTAACCTTTTATATCATGAAAATAACAAGGGAAAAAAGAAAAAAGCCATCTAAATTGCTTTCTTAATTTATTTACTTTCTCCTTAAAGGAATTGTTTGGGTTTCCTACAATCTGGTCAACATTTTTAGGTGAGGGGATGCAGGGGGATGATCCTAGCAACAGCAGTTATCTTGGTCCTCCAGTTCCTGTGTCCTACAACTCACTACTTCTTGGTTGTATACCCAAAATACATTTTCATGACAATAAGGTTTGTCAATTGTGTTAGGCTTGTTTGAATGTGCTTCTGGTTTCATTGTTTTTCTCTATTGCTTTTCTAGTCTCTGTCTCATTGGTTTCTGCTATGATCTTTATTATTTCCTTCCTTCTGCTTACTTTAGCTTCCATTTGCTCTCCTTTTCCCTGTGTCCTTATGTCAAAAGTTATGTTGTTGATTTGAAATAGTTCTCTTTTTTATTATCTGTATTTACAGCAATAAATTTCCTTGTAAGCATGTCTCTAATTGAATTTCATTAAGTTTTGTATGTTGTGACTTCATTTTCATTCCTTTAAGTATATTTTCAAATTTCTGTTTTGATTTCTTCTTTGATTAGTAATTTGGATGTGTGTTGTTTAATATCCACGTATTTGGGTTTCCCTACTTTTTTGTTATTAACTTCTAGTTTCACTCTATTGTGATTGGAGTACATACTGTTCAGTTCCTTTAATGGCCTAGTGTAGAGTCTATGATGGACAATGTTGATGAGCCCTTGAGAAGAATGTAGCTTCTCTTGTTGTGTGGAATGTTTTGCGTGTGCTTTTCAGGTCTAGCTGGACTATGAAGTTGTTTGAGTCTTCTGTTTCCCTGTTGCTCTTCTGCAGTTTTTCTATCCATTAGTCAAAGTGCAGTATTGAAGTCTCCACTCATCATCAATTTTAACTGTCATTTCTGTCAGTTTTTGTTTCATGTACTTTGGTGATGTTTAATTAGGTGCATATATGTTTATACTTGTGCTTTCTTTCTTTCTGATGGATTGGCCATTTTATTATTGTAAAATATCCCACATTATCTCTAAAAACAAAATTTTTTTTTAAGACAGAGTTTCTCTCTTGTCACCCAGGCTGGCATGCAATGGCGTGATCTCAGCTCACTGAGGAAATAATATAACTTTAACTCAACCTCCACCTCCCAGTTTCAAGCAATTCTCCTGCCTCTGCCTCCTGAGTAGCTGGGATTATACGCACATGCCACCACACCCAACTAATTTTTGTATTTTTAGTAGAGATGGGGTTCCACCATCTTTGCCGGCTGGTCTAGAATTCCTGAACTGAGGTGATCCGCCCACCTTGGCTACTCAAAGTCCTGGGATTACAGGCATGAACCATTGCACCTGGTCAGTTTTTTTTTTTAATTCATTGTGTCTGATATTAGTATGGCTGCTTTAGAATAGCTTTATCAGGGTTTCTGTTTGCATAATATATGTATTTACATCTTTTTACTCTATTTATATCTTTGAATCTAAAATGTTACTCTAGTAGATGGCATAGAGGATCTTATTTTTTATTGTCTGACAAGAATTAACTTTTGATTAGGTTGTTTAATCAAGTCATATTTAATATTATTATTGATATAGTTGGATCATATCAGACATTTAATTTTTGTTTTTTATTCCTCGTATGTCCTTTTAATTCTTCAGTCCTGTTTTCTGCTTCCTTTTGCAAACAGTGAATATTTTCTTTTTCTTTTTTTTTTTTTTTGAGACAGAGTCTCACTCTGTTGCCAGGCTGGAGTGCAGTGGTGCAATCTCGGCTCACTGCAACCTCTGCCTCCCAGGTTCAAGGGATTCTCTTGCCTCAGCTTCCTGAGTAGCTGGGACTGCAGGTGCCCGCCACCACACCTGGATAATTTTTGTATTTTTAGTAGAGATGGGGTTTCACCATGTTGGTCAGGATGGTCTCAATCTCCTGACCTCATGATCCACCCACCTCAGCCTCCCAAAGTCCTGGGATTACAGGTGTGAGCCACTGCGCCCGGCAACAGTGAATATTTTCTAAAATGGCAATTACATTTCTTTAATGATTTTAGTACTCCATTTTTGGCTTATTATCCTAGTCAGTTTCTTGGGCTTACATTATACATCTTAACCTATCAGAATCAGCTTCAGATTCATGCTAATTCAGAATAGTTTCATTTAGACACAAAAACATTACACCTACCTTGCTTCACACCCTTCTGCACATAGCTTTGTACCATATGTAGTTCTATACCCTTCTTACTGTACCTTTTTAAGGTATTATTCTTATTTATGTTACATCAATAAATACTAAAAATTCAACAATACATTGTTACAATTATTACATCATATAACCATATCTTTTAAGAAGCTGAGAGGAAAAAGTAAAGCACATAAATATTTAAAATTTTAAGTTAATCTTCTTATTTATCATTTATGGTCCTCTTCATTTGTTTTTATAGACTAGAGTTGTCTGTAGTGTGATATATGGAGTTGTTGTCTTAACCCAATACAGCTTTGTTCCCACTCATCTCGGTTAGACTGTTATTGGCAAACATATTAAATTTTGTATGTCACAGGACAAACAATACATTAGATAGACATTGTTTTATGAATTGTTTTCTAAATCCAGAGAAAAAAATAGAAAAATGTGCATTTATACTGCCTTTTATTATTTTCATAATATAAAATATATCAGTTTTAGAGTTTCATATCTACCTTTACTGGAATGTGTGTGTGTGTGTGTGTGTAAATTTGGATTATTGTCTGAGGTTATCATTTTCAGCCTGAATAACTTCTTTTAATGTTTCTTGTAAGACAGGTCTGGTAGCAATGAATTACTTCAGTTTTGTTAATCTAGGTATGTCTTTGTTTCACCCTCATTTTTAACCATAGCCATGGTGAATACAAGATATTTTCTTCAGACATCGTATATGTTATTCCTCTTCTTCCAGGCCTCTATTGTTTCTGGTGAGAAATCAGCTGTTAGTCTCCTTGGGATTCCTCCTATTTATAACAGTTTTAGAGGATCCCTTTTAAGCTCAATGGCTCCTCTTTCTTTATCTCACTTCTGCTTTCAGCGTTTCCCATGTGACTTTAGCTTTCAGCATCATTACTATGATGTGTCTGTGGATCTCTTTATGTTTGTCTAATTTGAAGTTCTTTGAATTCCTGCATGTGAGTAAAACTTTATTTGCTGTATGCTCTTGGGACCATTTCCAGAGACTGTGAATGGTTATTTTTGTTTTGTATAGTTTTTAAAATTTTCGCTAATTTTCAGAATAGAACTTATTTCTCACTCACCTTCCTATGCAGATCGGTGAGGGGTATGTGGTACTCCAAAGATGCAGATCAGTGAGGGGCATGTGGTACTCCAAAGATGCAGGTCGGTGAGGGGTATGTGGTACTCCACAGATGCAGGTCGGTGAGGGGTGTGTGGTACTCTGCAGATGCAGGTCAATGAGGGGTGTGTGGTACTCCACAGATGCAGGTCAGTGAGGGGTATGTGGTACTCCACAGAGTGCCTCAGGGACTAGGCTGTTGCTAGCTCTGACATCTTACAGCTGCTCCATCTAGAGCACATTGTAGGTTGCACAGCTGTAAGTGGACCACATAAGAGTAAATTTCCCCCTGTAACTTGATCAGGAGCTAGGCAGACTTAGGGGTAAGCCGATGCAACTGAGCTCGGTTCACATGCCATGAGGTGACCCCTTTTCCAGCTCCCAGGGTATCTCCTGGGTCCACAGAGAATTTTCTTCCTTCTGCCTCCTTGCTGGTTTGGACGTTGTTATTTAACCTGGCTCAGTCCTGCCTTCCAAATAGCTTTCCTTAAAAGTTTCCATAATATTTCCCACAATCAGAGGTCAAAACAGTCAATAACGGAAATTACTACCAAACTTGAAATAGATGAAGATGAGTTAGTTTCCACTGAGGCAAGGTTCCAGTGGGGTTCTTGGGGCCTCAGACTTGGTGGTAGTGGGTTGCCAGTTGTGTGGAATTTGAAGCTAATCTGTAAGTTGGGAAAAATTTTGGATTTGGGGGCCGGTCATACTTCACTGGGATTTTGACAGGTAGAGGCCACCCTTCACCTGGTGGATAAGAACGTTTGTGTCCAACAAAAACACTTGGTGGAACATGACACAGCTTTTGATCATCACTTTGCCCATGCTGGGGGCTTGTTTGTGGTGCTGAAAAAAACTGGATTCCATGTATCTTTCCCCTGATTTTACTACTATGGAGAACTTAATTTAAAACGTGGCCGGTAATACTGTTTCTCTAAACATCGCCATTGAATACATTAAGGGAATTTCTCAGGGGAAAAAAACACATGACGTGCTTATGGGAGCAGCATGTGGCTGATTTGTAGTCTCCCTGAATGATAGGTGGCATCATTCCAAGGTTTTCTAATTTTTATATTTCATTTAGTCCAGTTTTAGACTTGACTATTCCAAGGTTTTCTGATTTTTATGTTTCATTTAGTCCAGGTTACTATGACTTGTGTTACCCCACTGATATGCTTTGGATGTTTTCTCCCTTCCAAATCTCACGTTGAAATGTGACCTCCAATGTTGGAGGTGGGCCCACTGGCAAATGGAGACAGATCCCTCATGAATGCTTGGTGCTGTCCTCATGGTCACGAGCAGGTTCTTACTCTGAGTTCACATAAGATCTGTTTTTTTTTTTTTTTTTTTTGAGACGGAGTCTCACTCTGTCACCCAGGCTGGAGTGCAGTGGCACAATCTCGGCTCACCACAAGCTCCACCTCCTGGGTTTATGCCATTTTCCTGCCTCAGCCTCCTGAGTAGCTGGGACTACAGGCGCCTGCCACCACACCTGGCTAATTTTTTTGTTTTTTAATAGAGACGGGGTTTCACTGTGTTAGCCAGGATGGTCTCAATCTCCTGACCTCGTGATCCGCCCGCTTCGGCCTCCCAAAGTGCTGGGATTAGAGGTGTGAGCCACCGCACCCGGCCAAGATCTGGTTATTTAAAGAGGCAGGCATCTCCCTAGTCTCTCTCTTGCTCACTCTCACCATGTGATGGCCAGCTCCCTCTTGGCCTTCTGCCATGATTGTAAGTTTCCTGAGGCTTCCTTAGAAGCAGATGCCAGCACCATGCTGCTTGTATAACCTGCAGAACTGTGAGCCAAATAAACCTCTTTTCTTTCTAAATTACTCAGCCTCAAGTATTTATTTATAACAATACACATGAAGTAAAACACAGGTCAACTGAGAGCATGAATACCTCTTTGAATCAGGCCACTCCACTGTGAACTATGGCTCGTAATGATCATCATACCCCAACAAAGACTATGACCAGTAGAACTTGAATACTGTAGTATTGAGTGGCCATGAAAGGACAGAGCATCCAGGAGAGAGAGCTGAGTGTGGCTGGATACTACCCAGGGTCTGTGAGGGAGCTGAGGATGGAAGAGAACCACCAAGGGTCTCAGTGAGGTTGGAGGGGCAGCACTGAGCTGAGGGCTGGAGGAGACCAAGGAGGAGCAACCCTGAGGACTGGAAATGACTGGGAGGACCTGAGGCGTTGATGATGGAGGAGTATAAGCCGGCAGCCAGCAGGACAGGCCAGGGGTCTCCTGGTGGCAGCAGGGTGCCGGGTACTGCCACAGGAGGCACCCCCTGTGTGCAGGTCCATGGGTTCCCAGTACCATTTCCTCTCACCAAGCATGTTAAAAATTCCATAGGGTGTTGGATTGGCACCATGGTTCACACCTGTAGTCCCAGCTACTCAGGAGGCTGAGGCAGGAGAATCGCTTGAACCTGGGAAGCAGAGGTTGCAGTAAGCTGAGATTGCGCCACTTTACTCCAGCCTGGTGACAGAGCAAGACCCCATCTGAAAAAAAAAAATCAATGGGGCGGTTTAAGGACCCCCAGGTCAGATCCACCCAGGACCCTAAGTCAGGCCTCAGACGTGGGCCCAGGCAAGAAATGCATGGCCTGGAATCCTTGCAAGTGTTGGCTCTTGGGTCCCCAACAGGTCTAGGAGCACAGCTTTGGCCAGAAGAGATTGGCAATTTCAGCCCTGGGACATTTCAGGTGGCATCTGGAGCTGTGGTTACCCCGGTGACACTGAACCAGGCTCTCTGTGCCCTTCACACGACACCCAATTACTGAGATGAGGGGCTTTGCAGTACAGATTTGTTCACTAAGATAAAGTCCACTGTTTGCATCCAATTATTTTTGTTATTGTTTTGCAAACCTAAATGTCTGTATCAATATCTCATGGCTAGGGTTCTGAAGCAAAAGCTACAGGATCTTTGTTTGTACGAGTGTGTATGTGTGTGTTTATGTGTATGTGCACGTATTTTGTTATGTGTTTTTGATCACAAGGCAACAAATTTGGCTTAAACTTAAAGAGTACTCATAAATTAAATAATTCGCCCAAATGGTTTTCAAGTTCACATGACTTATTGATCAAGCAATTTCGTACTTATCTCTGCCACATACTGTAAGTTGTCAGAATTTGACATAAAATTTATAAAATTGGCCAGGCACACTGGCTTATGCCTGTAATTCCAACACTTTCGGAGGCCGAGGTGGTTGGATCACGAAGTCAGTTCGAGACCAGCCTGGCCAATATGGTGAAACCCATCTCTACTAAAAATACAAACATTAGCTGTGGTGGTGAGCACCTGTAGTCCCAGCTACTCAGGAGGTTGAGGCAGGAGAATCTCTTGAACCCAGGGGACAGAGGTTGCAGTGAGCTGAGTGTTGCCACTGCACTCCAGCTTGGGTGGCTGAGTGAGACTCCATCTCAAAAAACAAAATTATAAAACTATAAACCCAGCCACCAAACAGAATTATCTCTGCTTGTGTAGCTTTTAAACCAATAAGATGTTAATATTGTGGGTTTAATGAAAATTGCTGAATCTTGAATTATTGGTAAAATAACCATGTATCTTAAGGTTCTTAGGTAATCACCTGAAACTCACAGGCTATAAAAATAGGATGGACATGAAATAGGCAGCTATGCCACCCTGGCAACACTACAGGACAAAATAAAAATTGGGTGGCCACTGACTTGACCAGAAGGGGGACAGTGTTAACCAAAAGTGAAATTCTAAGGCCCCCCCAGTAGCCATCTGAATGGACCCCTCCTCTTGGTTGAGGCCATTCTGGAGTTATCCTGAAACTCTAGTTCAGGCAATGATGAAAGAGGGGGTTGGAGATGCCTCATTTTACCCCTCCAGCATTAACATCAATACAGACCTCAAGTGTAATAAGAAACATTTACAATATATTTTCTCTGAGGCCTGCGACCTGATGGCTTAATCTGCATGATAAAAGCTTGGTCTTCATAACTACTTATTGTAACACAGGCATTCCTTTCTACTAATAATAACTCTTTCAACTAATGTTTAAATTTACCTATGATCTGGAAGCTCCCCCCCCACCAGATCAAACCAATGAAAATCTTACATATTTTAATTGATGTCTCATTTCTCCCTAAAATGTATAAAAGTGGCTGTATGCAGTGGCTCACGTCTGTAAACCCAGTACTTTGGGAGGCGGAGGCGGGTGGATCACAAGGTCAGGGGTTCGAGGACAGTCTGGCCAACATGGTGAAATCCCATCTCTACTAAAAATACAAAAATTAGCCGGCCGTGGTGGTGGGCCCCTGTAATGCCAGCTACTCAGGAGGCTGAGGCAGGAGAATTGCTTGAACCTGGGAGGCGGAGGAGGTTGCAGTGAGCCAAGATTGAGACACTGCCCTCCAGTGTGGGTGACACAGTGAGACTCTGTCTCAAAAAAAAAAATGTATAAAAGCAAGTTGTATCCCAACCACCTTGGGCACATTTCATAAGAACCTCCTGAGGCTGTGTCATGGGTGTGTTCTTAACCTTGGCAAAATTATGTTTCTGAACTAAGACCTGTCTCAGATATTTTGGGTTCACACAGGAAACAAAAATATGATCATCATCTACATGTGGTTTCATAACATATTTTACTCATTTAAGGACATGTCATCAATACTGAGTAATTTTCATTGAATTCTTGCTATGTCCCAAGTACACTGTGTCCTGGGCACTTTACATTAAAACCCATTTAATCTTCCTAGAGATCCGTTTTACAGATGGGGAATGTGGGGCTCAGAGCCCTTGATAATTTACCCAAGGCCACACAGACAGTAAGTATAGAGCTCAGATGTGAGTCCAGGTGAGCTTGCTCCCCAGCTGGAATTCTTAGCCATCACTCTACACTGCCTCTCTGAGAAAGAAGATCCTTGAAATCCATTTTTATACCCTAAAGTTTGTGGAGTTGTCATTTGAATGTATGTGAATGAATTTAAATAATTAATTTCTTACCGATAGGCATCCAGATAATTACAGATGAATAAATGCATGCATCTGTGTGCATTCCAAATATTTCCTTTTGATAAATTCCTGGTAGTGGGATTGCTGCATGAAAATTTATCTTAAGTGCAGCAAGAAGTTAGAGCTTCCCAGAGCTGCGTGAAGGAGGACGATCTGTGTTCCCAGCCTACTTTAGGGAGTTAGTGCTGATCTCGTGGTTTGTTAAGAGTGTGGACTGCAGATGCAGCCTCGTAACCCACAGCTCTGTTCAGAGTGCTCCTCTGCCATGGGTACTGCATCCCATAGGAGGGTGTGAAAGCACTGGTAATGGTGGTGGGAATGCACCCCAGTTCTTACAGTGCACCCCAACCCCAGTTCTTACTGTGCACCCCAGTTCTTACTGTACACCCCAGTTCTTACAGACTTTGGCTGCTACTATTGGCTCAACCTGCATCTGGGGTTGCCCTTCAAGCAGCAGTGAAGAAAGTGGTAAAGAAAGAAAAATCTTTAGAAGGAGCTCCTATGTGGATTATGAGATTAGGGCTAATGAAAAGCATGTCCCCAAAGAAGAAAGGGGTATCCCAGCCCCTCTTCAATCATGAATAAACTTTTGAATGGTTACCTCATTTCTTGTAATTTCAGGTATATGTTTAATATCTATGAAAGGATTTGGAGCCCAATATTCAAATTGATCTGTGTACATGCCTCCATATTTCTAATTCTAATTTAGATTTTCTCTAGCTCGTTGTGTTCCTGGACCAAACCAAGAGTCAGGCTGCTTGTTCTCATGGTCCAGTAGTGAGATGTAGCCAAACTTGGAAAGAAGAGATTTTATTTCTGTAACCAGGTATAGGGAGAAGGCTGGGGGAAACATCACCAGACCAACTCAAAGTTACCAAGTTTTTCCAGTGCTTACATACCTTCTAAGCTGTATGTCTATGTGTAAGTGTGCATTTTCCTAAGGACAAAAGTGATTGATTCCATCTAATCTATAACTAAGGTCTGGGTCCTGGAGACCTTCCTCTGGAGCCTCAGTAAGTTTACCTAATCTAGATGGGGTTCTGCTGCTGGAGGTGATTACCGTTATCTTGTCTCCAGCCAAGGTGTGGAGGTCTGTAGGAGTTTCTTCAGACATCCAATAGAAGATTTTTAATCCTAAATGCATCCTGGTGTGAGGAATGTAAGAATTTCTTTGTTATCTTGTTGCATTTCAAGGCTCAGGAAAGGCCTAGGCCAGACTTTTGTTTGGCTATTGTTATGTTCCAGCCTTTGTGTAAGGGCAACTTATCGTTCTGCCTTTAATATTTAACCTAACCAGTTCAGTCAATGTGGAAGCTATTGTCATGGAGGCCTGCCTGTTCAACTGTTAGTGAGACTTGCCCTGCTACAGTTTTGCTTCTCCTTTCCAGTATTTCTGAGATCAGCTGGAACCATCAACCGAAACAAGAAGCAAAGTCTCTCTAAAAGAAAATACACTTGTTTGGGAATAGAGCATTGAATAGAAATATGTGTGCCATAGTAAACCATGTGCATATGCAGGGAGGTAGAGACTCTGCTAGAACATTTGTATGTTGCTGTAAAGAAATATCTGAGGCTGAGTTGTTTATAAAGGAAAGAGGTTTAATTGGCTCATGGCTCTACAGGTCTTATGGGATGCATGGTTCTGGCATCTGCTTCTGGTGAGAGCCTCAGGAAACATTTATTCATGGCAGAATTTGATGTGGGAGCAGGCACAACACGTGGTGAGAGCAGGGGCAACAGAGGGAGGGGAGAGGTGCCACAACTTTTTTTTTTCTTTTCCTTTTTTTTATTTAGACAGAGTCTCACTCTGTCTCCGAGGCTGGAGTGCAGTGGCATGATCTCAGCTCACTGCAACCTCTTCCTCCTGGGATCAAGCGATTCTTGTCTCAGCCTCCTGAGTAGCTGGAATTACAGGCACATGCCACCAAGCCCAGCTTTTTTTGTATTTTTAGTAGAGATGGGATTTCATCATGTTGGCCAGGCTGGTCTCAAACTCCTGATCTCTAGTACTCTTCCCAACTCAGACTCCCCAAGTGCTGAGATTAAAAGCGTGAGCCACTGCGCCTGACCTCCACACACTTTTAAACAACCAGATCTCACATGAACTCAGGGTGAGAACTTATCACCAAGGGGATGGTGCTAAACCATTCATAAAGGACCTGCCCCCATGATCCAGTCACCTCCCCAGGACCCACCTCCAACACTGGGGATTACATTTCAACATGAGATTTGGAGAGGGCTAACACCAAAATCACATCAAAGACAAAGGTTTTCAAAGGAAACAATGAGGAAAGTTATATAATTGTTTTGAAATAATTATCCTTGGCTACAAAAATCAATAACAATCGTGATGCCAGTCCATGGTTGGAAGGCAGTAGTTACTGGGCAGATATCCTTACAGAATTTTTTTTTTTTTGTATAACATTGTCATGAACTTTGTGCAAGGTTGTAATTTTTGTAGAATCTTTTTCATCATCAGGCATGTACTGCTGAGAATGCTGTCTTCATGGCCTTCCCCAGCTCGAGCTGTCAGAGTTTTCTTATCACTAGTGACTCCATTTTGATTCAGACAATTTCACTTTTCCCTTTTGTGCTCCAGATCTTTTTCCAAAAGCATCACTGATCAATCATCTTTTAGTTTGGTTTTGATGGCCCTTGGTGCTAGGATGGACCTATTTTGGTTTTTGGTCTCATCCCACATTGAGGCAGGGGGTAATTGGCACCTAAGAGTCAGTGTCAACATCCTTTTAGGCACATTTGGAGCAACAAGGGAGATTTAAAGGGTGTAGTCTTCAGGCTAAATCTACCTGGAGTTCATTATTAAGTTTGATTTTGTCTATTCTGTAGTCTTTTGCTATCATCTCAAAGTGCTGTACCAGTATTATTCTGTTAGGAGTTGTAATTTTGAAAAGAAACTTAAGTAATGGATACACAGTTTAAAAGGGAAATTATGAAATTAATACTAATAGGACAATTCTAGTTTGCATAATGGCTTTGAGCCATTAACCTAGGCTTACAGACAACTAATTGAATAAATAAAATAATCATAGGGAATCAGGGGAGATGGTGTAACCACGTGGCCTGTCTTCTTCTTTTGTGTCAATAAATTTCCAATTTCCTGGAGAAATTTATCCAGGTACAGCATATAGTATTGACAATAACACAGTCATTTTCTCATTTAACCAAAGTATACTTATGAGCAGAAGCTATTGATTGTGAATTTTCATTCACATCATTATTCTGCCAAGTGAAAAATGTAGCATTAAGGAGGAGGGGTAAAAATCTCATCACATGGAGTCTTGTTCTAATGACCTGGGAAAATATGTTCTAATGACCTGGGAAAATCGGCAGGAAAACATTAACTTCTCCTGCTTTGTAGTTTGAATGTCTTTGGTCATGACATCAGTTGGTTTGGTGAACTCTTTCTGTGATCCATACACCAGGCATATGTTTATTCTTTAAAATTTATCTAGTTGAAGCTCATAGGGCTTTAGTAACAGAGCAGCTTTTGCTTTTAGTTGGAGAGTTGTTGCCAAATTAGGAGAAATACATTAGGAAAATTCAGGATCTAGTATAATCTACACTTAGATAACAAGAACTTGAAAAGAATGCACAGGTTTACAGTCTACTAACAGATGCATTATAGTTTTTCTTTAGAAACAGAACTTTCTCTCTACATTAATCTACATAAAGTTCAGGTTTAAAGACCTCTTGAGGCCAAAGCAAGGGAGGTTTTAGATTTTACTTACAATCTTAAAGATCTTGAGCCTGCCAGGAAGTGACAATTTTTACTAATTCACTGTCAGGCTGGAAGCACTGGAAGCCAGGCATTTTATGCACATTTTTAAATATGAGATTTCAGTCAAAACCTTAATAATATAACCAATGTTTTCAATGGCATTCTGTTTATGAAGAGAAACAGATATTTATCGAGTAAAAATAAAAGAATATTCACAAATAGTTTCCAAATTTTGGAGGAATCAAGTACGGAAACGAAATGAATGCTTGCATCTTTGTTCAAAAAAGTATACTTTACTGAATTTTTGTAAACTATAGGTAGCTTATGAGATAAAGTTTTCTTAAAACTGGAAAGCAAAATATTTCAGAACCAATAATGTTTCAAATAAAAGTCATAAAAACATCATCTTTGTGAACCACTTAATTTCATGTAATTGTTTTGTTTTGTTTAATCTTGATCAACAGTTTTGTAAACCCATCAGTTTATTTATTTGAGCTCTGGAGATTTTTATTTAGTCTACTGATCTTAAATAATCAAAAATTTGGCCAGGCACAGTGGCTCACATCTGCAATCCCAGCACTTTGGGAGGCTGAGGCAGGTAGATCACTTCAACTTGGGAGTTTGAGACCAGCCTAGGCAATATGGAGAAATCCCATCTCTACAAAAAAAATACAAAAATTATCCAGGAGGCTGAGATTAGAGGATTGGGAGGTCAAGGATGCCGTGAGCCAAGACTGTGCCACTGCATACCAGCTTGGGCAACAGAGTGAGACCCTGTCTCAAAAAATTTATCAGAATTCTGTTTTCAAGAGTATTTGTTATTTTCTATGAAAAGCAGTTTCGGACTATAGCAGATTGCAAATGCTTTTAGAGAAATTTTCAAAACAACTGTGAATGACAAAAACTTGGAATAGCCATGGTTTAAAATCTGATCAAAGGTCCCAATTGACAATGAAACTTGGTTACATGAAACCAGAATCATGACTGACTACATCACATCAGGACAATCAGACTTTTATTAATTTCAAATTATGTTGGAGTAAAACACTGTTTTTCTAGATTTTTCAGGACATATATTTCAGCATCAGGACATAACAGCAGAGTTGGAATCACAGGAAAAAACTTACAAGAGTTGACAAAAGGTTGAAGGAAAGTTATCACCTCAGCCAAGCAAAATGTTATGCATTTTTAGGCAAGAAAAAGGGGAGCTGAATCTCCATCCTCAAACTAGGCAAATTAAATAGATCTCAAAAAGATATTTGACAGAAATGGAAATTGTAGTTTAGAAGATGGCTGTTAAGGAACAGATTTCAGAATTAAAACTCAAAACCTCTTGTAATTTTATGAAAACTAAATCAATACTTTAAGAAAACCTTGTTCTAACATAGGTGACCACATTTTTTCAGTTTTGTATTAGTGTATTTTTAATGCCAAAGCTCAATCCTTAGTAAGACTTATAATTTAATTTTCTTCTGATTGTAACCAACTTGGTCACAGGCAAAATAT
Source organism: Homo sapiens (assembly GCF_000001405.40). Lineage (NCBI taxonomy): Eukaryota > Metazoa > Chordata > Mammalia > Primates > Hominidae > Homo > Homo sapiens. Next base: position 160,260 of record NT_187377.1, on the reverse strand, counting down.
CTTGCATAAATTCTCTTTTCACAAATGAGTTACTCAGACCATTGGTGACGTGCTTGGGTTTTCCACTTTGTCCTGTACTTTCCCTCTTAAATAACTAGCCATTTTAGTTTAGGATGAAAATTTACCACACAAGATTCTTTGCCATGTGAAATATTTCTTTTCTTTTCAACCTTCTCCTGTCTCCATCTCCCTATCAATAACTTTCTTCACCTCTCTCTCTTCTACTTACTGGATCTTCTTTAACATTTCACTGTCTTTCCTGAATCAATATTTTGAAACAACCTTTAAATAACCTTTAAATTATATAAAATTATTATTTCTTTCTCAATAAAGAGCATATTTGTATGCATTTCTTATACATTTTTTCTTATTAAAAACTTATCCTACTTTTTAAGGCACACTTTTATATAGAATTATATATATTAGTTAGGCCAGGCATGGTGGCTTACACCTGTAATCCCAGCACTTTGGGAGGCTGAGGCAGGAGGATTGCTGGAGCCCAGGAGTTCGAGGTGGCAGTGAGCTATGATCTTGCCACTGCATTCCAGCCTGGGTGACAGAGTGGGATCCTGTTCCCCCACCCCACAAAAAGAATTATCCATATTAATTACAATTTTATTATTTTATTTTATTTGAGACAGGTCTCAATCTGCCACCCATGCTGCAGTGCAGTGGCACAATCACAGTTCACTGCAGCCTCAACATCCTGGGCTGAAGCAACCCTCCCACCTCAGACTCCCCAGTAGCTGGGACTACAGGCGTGTGCCACTATGCCTGGCTAACTTTTATATTTTTTGTAGAGACGGGGTTTAACCATGTTGCCCAGAGTGGTCTCAAATTCCTGGGCTCAAGCAATCCACCCGCATCGGCCTCACAAAGTGCTGGGATCACAGGCATGAGCCACTGTACCTGCCCTATATTAATTAGAATTTTAAACTTGTAGTAACCTTAAATTATAGTGAAAACTTAGGCAGCAAGAAATCTGTCACATATCAGTATTATCAGTATTTTATGGGTGAGAACAATTTTATAGCAATATAGAAAGTTATATGGGTATAAAAATCCATGTAACATATCCACATAGACGTAACTCTAGGAAAAAGTTAACATAGCAACCAAAATTATGACTAATAATGTAGGGACCAGCCCCACAGGGTCTGTGGATTTTTCTCCCTGTGTGTGGAGATGAGAGATCATAGAAATAAAGACACAAGACAAAGAGATAGAAGAAAATACAGCTGGGCCCAGGGGAACACTACCACCTAGACACAGAGACCAGTAGTGGCCCTGAATGCCAGTCTGCGTTGTTACTTATTGGATACAAGACAAGGGGTCAAGGTAAGGAGTGTGAGCCATCTCCAACGATAGGTAAGGTCACGTGTGTCACGTGTCCACCAGATGGGGGCCCTTCCCTGTTTGGCAGCTGAGGCGGGGAGAGAGAGAGACAGCTTATGCCATTATTTCTGCATATCAGAGACTTTTAGTACTTTCACTAATTTTGCTGCTGCTATCTAAAAGGCAAGCCAGGTGTACACAATGGAACATGAAAGCAGACTAGGAGCATGACCATTGAAGCACAGCATCACAGGGAGATGGTCAGGCCTCCAGATAACTGCAGGTGGCCCTGACTGATATCAGGCCCTCCACAAGAGGTGGCAGAGCAGAGACTTCTCTAAACTTCCCTGGGGAAAGGGAGACTCCCTTTTCCAATCTGCTAAGTAGTGGGTGCTTTTCCTTGGCACTGACACTACTGCTAGAGCACGGTTCGCTTAGGTCACAGGTGTCTTCCCAGAGCTGGCATTACCACTAGACCAAGGAGCCCTTGTCTTCTGGTCACTTCTCACTACGTCCCCTCAGCTCCTGTCTCTGTATGGTCTGGTTTTTCCTAGGTTATGATGGCAGAGTGAGGATTACTATAATATTGGAATAAAGAGTAACTGCTACAAACTAATGATTAATGATATTCATATATAATCATATCTATGATCTATATCTAGTATAACTATTCTTAATTTATATATTTTCTTTATTACACTGGAACAGCTCTTGCCCTTGGTCTCTTACCTCGGCACCTGGGTGGCTTGCCACCCACATAATAACAGATTTCTAGAAGAGACAAATATAAAACCATTTGACCAGTAAACCCGGGTAAAACGTACACTGACCATTTTGAAGATATTTCTATTTATATTTTACCACTAATTTTAGAATAGTTTATTTATCACAGATTAAGTCACATGAATTAAAAAGCATTTAGGTTAATTATTGTATATTTCATGAGGTCATTTATCTAAATAGACTTTCTTAAGGGATTTCAGGATCACTACACCAGATTTTACCATGTAGACAAAACATATAACAAAATACATGTGTATATGCATAAACACATCTGACCACATATACACACACAAATAACAGATCTTATGTTTTTTTTATTTAGACTTTTAGTCATGAGATAGTAATACTAATCCACCAGTTTATAAAAGACAGTTGGACCCAAATTATATTTTTTGGCAAAATGTAAAACATGGTTAAAATTTATTTGCCACGATAGGTAATCTAATAAGTGCTGTGAACCACAGTTTGGGTAAAGCAGTTTCCATGGCAGTTTGACTTTTTAAAAAACCTTTTTCACCTTTTCTTAAGTTTCAGATGAGTTTAGGGTTATATTTTCAATGTTTACATTTAAGCTGGGACTGGATAAATTGTATAAGAAAAATAAAATCTCCATGTAACCTTGAATTACTAGCAAATCTATTTTCTGTTTGCCAGTGTGATTTGCTTGACTAGCAAGTGTGGACAGGAAAGATTTTTAGCGGTTCTAAATTATTTATAATTTTTGCTTTTGCGTGGCAGAAACAGCAAAATTTTTGTGTTAGACATACCTTAGATTATTGCTGTAAGGCCAAGATTTTGACCTGTTTGATCGGAAAGCCTAATTTCATAAATATTTATCTAGTTATTTTTTTCTTATATTAACTTCTAATGAAGTATTCTTTCATTGTACACAATTGTAAGTCAGGTAAACCTAAATTTATATTTCTTATTTTTTCTTAACACACGGTATTTTAGAATTAAATTTATATTTCTAAAGATTATCTCACTTGTTGATATCATGAAGCTGTTGTAATTTATAAAGCCATTAATTTGAAAACTCTTTAAGATTTGGGGCACAGGCCAGAATTCCATAAACAGTGAATGGGTAGAAGAAGAACAGAGAGAGGTATGCAGAGAACTTAGAAATCTCTACATATTAACTCTATAATTGCAGGTTTTTCAAATAATGACTATTGGAGATCTGTATTTTCCTTGATGTAATTTTCCCAGCAAGATAAACATATGAGTCATAATATGTAACCAGCTGGAGTCCCAGAAAACCTAGCATGCCTTAATGTTGGAGAATGCAATTTTGTTTTGTTTCTTGTTTTTTGTTGTTTTTTAGATGGAGTCTTGCTCTGTCACCAGGCTCTCATGCAGTGGCACAATCTCGGCTCACTGCAACTTCCACTCTCCCGGGTTCAAACGATTCTCCTGCCTCAGCCTCTCGAGTAGCTGGGACTACAGGCACATGCCACCATGCCTGGCTAATTTTTTTTTTTTTTTGTATTTTAATAGAGACGAGGTTTCACCATGTTGGCCAAGATGGTCTTGATCTCTTGACCTCGTGATCCACCCACCTTGGCCTCTGAAAGTGCTGGGATTACAGGCATGAGGCACCGCACCCTGTGAGCGTTCTGTTTTTCATTAATCTTGCAAGAGTAGAGAAAATCCTATAAATCCTCTTATGGAATTCCAGGGGTTTAGGCCAGTGTTTTAGAGGGTGACAACTGCCCTGGCAGCTTTTAGTTAGCCATCCTGACCCACCATTTAGAATGTTTACTTTTGCTCTTGGGAGAATTTCAGAAACAAGGATAAAGAATCAAATAAAATCAAAAGAAACAAAGATAAGATCGTTCACAAAAATTTTAACCTAGACATGCAGATCAAAATATTAAACTAGGCATGCAGACAAATTTGAAAGTAAATTCACTAGAATATATGCCTCACAGACAGAATGTAAAATCCGTAGACGCCAAGACTGATCCAGAAACACACTGATCTTTATTCCAGAAAGGACTTACCAGAAAAGACAGAAAGTCTTTTATCATCTCTGGAGGGATGTGTGGTCCTTCATTAAGGTAGCTTATCCAAACCTGTTCCCAAATGGTATAAAAAGCCTCTACCAAAAGGAGGGAGGCTTAGCCTGAAAGAAGACAGGAAAAACGGGCAGGAAAAAACAAGCTGTGAAAGAAAGCAAAGAGCTCAAAGGCTTCAAAGGTGAGTACTGCATGCTGATTCTGGGAATAATTCCTCTCAATCTTCGTTTCTGAACAAGAACTCAGTGAAAAAATGAAGTCAGCAAGATTCTTGGGGGGTGGTAAATAATTATACTTTCTGTGGTTAGGGAGAATATCTGTGGGCTTTTGGGTTAAAGGACCACTGACATCATGATAACCAGGGCAGCCTCTCCCAAGAATACTACATTCCTCCTTGTCTTCTTCATTCACAGACAGGATTCCCTTCATCTGAGAAAGCCAGTTCTCCTCCAAAAGATCCACCTCACACAAGTCCGGGGTAATTATAATGTATTGGCAACACCCATTCACTATATTGTACATTTTGAAAAAGCTATTAATTTCACTACATCTGCATTTAACAGTTCAGCACAGAATTGCAGACACTGTGTTCAGAGTCCTTTTCTTGGAATGCTGATTTTCTGGGCTCAGTGCTTTCTCCAGAGGTTTTGCACAATTTGGGGATTTTCTCTACAGAATGGAGAAGGTTTTTTTTTGCTAAATACAAAGACAAGCTCTTGAGAGGAAAAATCATGTTTCTATATGAAAGTAAATGTGATTCCCAAAGGCCTACTTTGAAAGAAAAGGGACAAAACTGAGGTGTCATTCCAGACAGTGTGATAGGTATGTCAAAAAATGATATGTACATCCAACAGACACATCCAAATACAAGCTTCCTAAAAATGGATTAATTTTTACTTAGTCAAGAAATCTCTTTTTGAGCTGCTTTCCAAAAAGGCAAAATCAATTATTTTGAATGGGTAGAAAATCTTCCAATTTTGAGGGTAAATTGGAAGTTGAAGAACAATCAAGTCATTCATAGCAGGGTCTGGTAAGTCAGGAGGATGAATGAAAGAAAAGAATGCTGTTGGTGTCCAAAGGTAAACCTGGCTTGCTTCTGGCAGGTGACATTTAAGGCACATACAATGTGACAGCTTTGAAGGGCAGAGGGGCCTTGACATTGACTCTCCACAATGATATGGAGATCAGCGTGAGTGCCCACATGTTGACTCCTGGAAGACTACTAAGCGTTTGCCACCTCCTCCAAGGTGGAGGTCCACAAGAAGGCTCCAGAGTCATTCACAGGTGTTGTCAACTTCCAGCATCAGTGCAGCTCTCCTTACCTGGTAGGCTAGAGACACAGACAATATTGGCAATATGGTATTCTTGTGGGATTTGTTTGCTTTCAGGATAACAGATGAATTTTTCGCCAACAAACACAACAATTCATTTTCAACAGGCACCAGTTCCTCCTAAATATGGAAGATTCACCATGTCTTAGTTTGGATTCCCCCAGGAGCAGAACTTAAGACAAAGATTTCAGTGCATGTAGTTTATTTGGGACATGATCCCAAGGAGACTGGAAGCATTGGTCAAGGAGGGACAGAATGGGACGGGGTTCAGGAAGAAGACAAAATAAGGATGTGTTGCCAAGTGAGTTACACTGCAGATGACTGGTGCTTACTCCCATGACAGAACTCTGGGGAGCCACGTCGAACATGGAACCCAGGCCAAGTGGGCTGTAGCTGCAGAGAAGGGGATACACAACCTTAGGTAAGAAGGTGCACATTTCAGCCATTGGATGTGGGGCTGGAGGAAGACATTTGGCTGCGCTCCTACCGTGTATACTATTATACTGTTAGGGTTAGTAAGAGACAGGTGGTGATGATGTTGTCAGTTAAGAATAGCCATCATTTGCTTAGTGAAGTGTGGAATTGTCCTGGGAGTCTAACTTGCTAAGCTAATTTCACACCTAACTCCCACAGCTTGTCCACACCTAATTTCAGGATATATGTCAAAAGGTAAGAATAAATGTGATATACTGGTATATAAGTTACATCAGTGGTCCCCAGCCTTTTTTGGCACCAGAAATGGGTTTCATGGAAGACAATTTTTCCACAGATGGCAGGGAGGACAGTTTTAGGATGAAATTGTTGCACCTCAGATCATCGGGCATTAGATTCTCATAAGTGCATGCAACCTAGATCCCTCACATGTGCAGTTCACATTGGGGTTTGTACTCCTATGAGAATCGAATGCTGCAGCTGATCTGATAGGAGGCAGAGCTCAGGTCTTAATGCTCACTCAGCCACCACTCACCTCCTGATGTGCAGCCCGGTTCCTCAGAGGTCACGGACACATACCTGTCCATGGCCCAGGGGTGGGGACCCCTGAGTTACATTATACATACTATCAATATCTGGCTGTACCAAACAGTATTGTGAAAACATTTATAGTCCTGTTTGAGGGTCTTTTCTGAAGCTTTCCATTTACAAATAGAAAATAATATTAAGGCCAGGCATGGTGGTTCATACCTGTAATCACAGCACATTGGGAAGCTGAGGCAGGAGGATCCTTTGAGCCCAGGAGTTTGAGACCACCCTGGGAAACATGGCAAAACCCTCTGTGTACAAGAAAATACTAAAACACACCAGGTGTGGTGTCACATGCCTGTGGTCTCAGGTACTTGGGAGGCTGAGGTGGGAGGATCGCTTGAACCCAGGAAGTTGAGGCTGCAGTGAGTTGTGATTACACCAGCCTGGGTGACAGTGTCACCCTGTCTCAAAAAAAAAAAAGAATATTAAAACAGATACTGTGGTTTCTATCTTTTTGGTCCTCTCATAGCAAAAACCAACAAAAGAAACTAATGTATAACCTAGCAAAATACAGCAAGAACTAGGAATTTTCTATTTCAGTGCCTTAGGCAATCTGACAGATAATGTAGTTCAGTAAAAGTGTTTGCTGTACTGTGAAATGTACATTTAGATATGCAGACAGCCTCTTGACACAGACATTGCTATAGTGGTTTCTATCATAATTTAAGGCTTTTTGTTCTTGATTAACAGTGAGATGCCATCTGCCTCAGTGTGTGCCCTAAGAAATTAAAGAGATGCCAGGAAGGAAAAGTATTAATGAGGAGTATAAAATTCTAGTTTTAAAAAACATCTTGGCCGGATGTGGTTGCTCAAGCCTGTAATCCCAGCACTTTGGGAGGCTGAGGCAGGTGGATCACCTGAAGTCAGGAGTTCGAGACCATCCTGGCCAACATGATGAAACCCGGTCTGTACTAAAAATACAAAAAATTAGCTGGGCATGGTGGTGCATGTCTATAATCCCAGCTACTCGGGAGGTTGAAGCAGGATAATCACTTGAACCTAGGAGAAGGAGGTTGCAGTGAGCTGAGATTGTGCCTTTGCACTTTAGCCTGGACAATAAGAGTGAAACTCCATCTCAAAATAATAATAATAATAATAACCGCGGATTTTTGCAAGGCTACAGAGAAAAGGGAATGCCTATACACTCTTGGTAGGAATGCAAATTAGTTCAGCCACTGTGGAAAGTGGTTTGAAGATTTCTCAAAAAACAGAACTATCATTAGACCCAGAAATCCCATTACTGGGTGTATACCCAAAATAAAATAAATTATAATTATTCTACCCAAAGACACATACACTAATATGTTCACAATAGCAAAGACATGGAATCAACTTAGGTGCACATTAATGATGAATACGACAAAGAAAATGTGGCATATGTACACCATGGAATACTATGCAGCCATAAAAAAGAATTAAATAACGTTCTTTGCAGCAACATGGATGCATCTGGTGCCCATAATCCCAAGCAACTTAATGCAGAAACAGAAAACCAGCTATCACAGGTTCTCACTTATAAGTGGGAATTAAATCTTGGGTACACACAGACATAAACTTGGGAACAATAGACACTAAGGACTTCAAAGGAGGGAGGAGGGAATGGCACAAGACCTGAGAAGCTTCCTATTAGGTACTATGTTCGCTATCTGGTTGATGGGACCAATAGAAGCCCAAACTTAAGCACCATGCTATTTACCCTTAAACCAAATTTGCACATGTACCCCTGAATCTGAAATAATAAACAAAATAAAAATGTTTTATTAGTCTAAAACCTGTCAATATGACATAAAAATAATTATCAGGTTGGGCACAGTGGTTCATATCTGTAAACCCAGTGCTTTGAGAAGCCGAGGCAGGAGGATCACTTGAGGCCAGGAGTTCAAGGCCAGCCTAGTCAACACAGCAAGAGCCCATTTTTACTAAAAAGAAAAAAAGGAAAAGAAAATACTCAAAATAAAAAGCAATCGCCTTTCTTACTCCTTCTCTCTTCATTTCTACAACAGTCTTATTTTTCTAAATGACAATAATTATCAATATTAAGGTTTTGAAATTCTAGTACTTTCAATAATAAATATCAACTAATTGCATTGTTTTTAAAATCAATATTTCAAAAACAAATATTTCACATGGCTATAAAAGCACAAAACATTGATTAAAGTTTAATAAAAATATGGAAATAAATTATTTCAAATAAATATAAAATTAATATAATTTAATTGAAGGAAAAACTACTTGAAAATAATTAAGGTTGTTCAGGTTCAAATCAACAAATTCCATGATCAACAATTTAAAATATTAAGCTCTGGTAAGTGATAGAATTAATGCCTAAATATGCCTAAATGACAACATTGCTAACTGATGTTTTTGTTTATTTATTTATTTATTTTTGAGATGGAGTCTTGCTCTGTCACCCAGGCTGGATTGCAGTGGCACGATCTCAGCTCAATCCAAACTCTGCCTCCCACTTTTAAGCGATTTTCCTGTCTCTGTGTCCGGAGTAGCTGGGATTATAGGAGAGCGCCACCACGCCTGGTTAATTTTGTATTTGCAGTAGAGACGGGGTTTTTCAGTGTTGGCCAGGCTGTTCTCGAACTCCTCACCTCAGGTAATCTGCCCACCTCAGTCTCCCAAAGTGCTGTGATTACAGGTGTGAGCCCCCATGCCTGTCCTGATGTTATTTAAATTTTATTTTAAAGAACAATCCCTAAGCAATTCATGGTGCTAAGTACAAATAAATCAAAAATAAAGCACATAACTTTTTTTTCTGCAGGACTTCATAATTCAGTTGGGATGACAAGACTAAAAATAATAGTGATAAACTCTCTGATAGAAGGAAAAAATGAAACTAAAGGAGTGTGGAGGAATAGGTCTCTATTTTAATTTATGAGTTTTGCAGCCATTTTGTAGACATGACACTTGAATTTTAAATAAGTTAAAAGGAAAAATAATTGACAACTTCCAAACCTTTCTCTCTCACCCAAATTTATTCATATGTATTATTTCTATTAATGATTATCATAAGAGAAATTAGGACTTCTAAATTAGTAAATATTGGCCGGGTGCGGTGGCTCACACCTGTAATCCCAGCACTTGGAGAGGCTGAGGCAGGTGGATCACAAAGTCAAGAGATCCAGACCATCCTGGCCAACACGGTGAAACCCCATCTCTACTAAAAATACAAAAAAAAAAAGAAAAAAAAATTAGTCGGGCGTGGTCATGGGCACCTATTGTCCCAGCTACTCGGAAGGCTGAGGCTGAAGAATCGCTTGAACCTAGGAGGTGGATGTTGCAGTGAGCCAAGATCGCGCCACTGCACTCCAGCCTGGAAACAGAGCAAGATTTCACTTCAAAAAAAAAAAAGGTAACATGCCTAAAAATAATAAATTCAGTTAATGCTAACAAAATAGCATTTTAAAATAAAACAAGTCCCCACATAGTTTGAAGAGTTGCAATTTTTTTACATTTTTGCAAAATGTCTGGCTTAACTGAAGACAGCTTGATACTCATATCTGCTTCTGAATTCAGTCTGTTGCAATATGTTGTTTTGACTAAGTGTGTGAAGAAAATATTGCCCCACACAGACATGAAGTTCTAGAAAGGAAGAATAATTTAAAATAATTTTTGGACGAAGTGTGGTGGTACACGCTTCTAATCCAAGCACTTTCAGAGGCTGAGGCGGGCAGATCACTTGAGGTCAGGAGTTCGAGACCAGCCGGCCAACATGATGAAACCCCGTCTCTACTAAAAATACAAAAATTAGCAAGCTTGGTGGTGAGTGACTGTAATCCCAGCTATTTGGGAGGCGGAGGAAGGAGAATCGCTTGAACCCAGGAGGTGGAGGTTGCAGTGAGCCAAGATTGTGTCCAGCCTGGTGACAGAGTGAAACTCCATCTCGAAAAAAAAAATTAAGTATTTTTGGCCAACTATTGTTCTTCTTCTTTGATCTGCAAACAAATGCTTTATTCAGGTTATTGCAATGGGAGGCATGACACCACATCATATGCTTTTTCTGCTATATCACATTAAAACCTATAGGTCTATTTTCAATGTTAATGGGTCTTTTACCGATCATGATTTTTATCATATTGGCATGGCCATTGGGAAAATATTGGTTCATTGAATAATGCAGATGTTCCAAATATTGATACACTATATTATAAAATATTTTGAAATTCAGTAATATTACCCTTGATCTCCTCAGAAAAATCCGTAAGTTTTGAAAAATTGTCATGTTCAAGAATGCACATACGTTTTCCAAATTTTAATTTTCACTTGAAAACTTTTTACATTTTCAGTAACAGCTCAGTTATTTTTCTTTAAGACAATCTCACTTTTTTTTTTTTTTCAGACAAGGTCTTGCTCTGTTGCCCAGGCTGGAGTGCAGTGGTGCAATCATAGCTCACTGCAACCTCTGTCTCCCGGGGCCAAATGATCCTCCCGCCTCAGCCTCCCCAGTAGTAGACTGTGGGCCTCAAGCCACCCAGGTGCCAAGGCAAGAGACTGAGGGCATGAGCGGTTCCAGTGTAATAAAGAAAATATATAGAAGAATACTTGTACTAGAAATAGAATATAAATGATGATATGTGAATATTAGTAATCATTAGATTGTAGTATTACTCTTTATTCCAATATTATAATAATCTCTGTTCCACGACTATAACCTAGGAAATACCAGGCCATACAGAGATAGGAGCTGAAGGGACATGGTGAGAAGTGACTAGAAGACAAGAGTATGAGCCCTCTGTCACTCCCAGACACGGCCACCAGAGGGCTCCCTCGTCTAGCGGTAACGCCAGCGCCTGGGAAGACGCCTGTTACTTAGCAGACCTTGGTCTAGCGGTAGCGCTAGTGCCTGGGAAGGCACCGGTTACTTAGCAGACCGGGAAAGCGAGTCTCCCTTTCCCCGGGGTAGTTAGAGAAGACTCTGCTCCACCACCTCTTGTGGAAGGCGACATCAGTCAAGCTCTCCCGCAGCCATCTGGAGGCCTGTCTCCCTGTGATGCTGTGCTTCAGCGGTCAGGCTCCTGGTCTGCTTTCATGTTCCGTCCTCTGCACCTGGCTTGGCCTTCTAGATAGCAGTAGCGGAATTAGTGAAAGTACTAAAAGTATTTGGAATGCACAGACGGAATAATGGCGTAAGCTGTCCTCTCTCTCTCTCCGCCTCGGCTGCCAAACAAGGAAGGTCCCCCGACTGGTGGACAAGAGACCCACGTGACCTTACCTATCATTGGAGATGGCTCACACTCCTTACCCTGCCCCCTTGCCTTGTATTCAATAAATAACAGTTTGGCCAGGCATTCGGGGCCATTACCAGTCTCCACATCTTGGTGGCAGTGGTCCCCCAGGCCCAACTGTGTTTTCTTCTATCTCTTTGTCTTGTGTCTTTATTTCTATGATCTCTCATCTCTGCACACGGTGAGGAAAACCCAAAGACCCTGTAGGGCTCATCCCTACAGTAGACTACAGGTTTACATCATCACCCCTGGCTAACATTTTTTTGTAGAGATTGGGTTTCACCATGTTGCTCCAACTGGTCACAAACTCTTGAGCTCCAAAAGTGCTGGGATTACAGGCATGAGCCACTGCACCCTGTCACACTTAGTTCATTTTTAAGTAATAAGTGCTCTATGAGTTCTTACCATTTTATCAAATAGAATACTGAAAAGACATACTTGGGGATCTAGATTTAATGAAAATGTTATTTTTTACTGCTTCATCAATGATATTCTTAAGTAACATGAAAATAAAATTGGCCTGTTTACTTATTTAGGCAACCAAGTGACTGTAAATAATAGAACTGCTACTATTATTTGGAGCCTCTGTCTTGTTTTTGCTACCGTTTTACTTACTACTGCTTTTGCACCAAAGCAGAGAACAAAAAAAGCGAAAAATACAAGTAACATAGCTGTATTATGATAGAAAGAGTCTTATTTTCATGGAGCACTCTGAGATCCACTGTTCCAGATATAGTTCTCTCCCAGACCCATCACCTGTTCTGTCACAAAGTTTTATTAATTCTACTTCTTAAGTATTCTACTCACTGCTTCTTCTCCACAACTTTATGACTCAGTGAAACCCTCACTCTCTCTCACCTGAAATATTTCCATTTTCCATCATGTTTCCATCAGCCTGCACTCTTATACTCAGTGAAAACCTCACCCTCTCTCATCTGAAATATTTCCATTTTCCATCATGTTTCCATCAGCCTGCACTCCTCTTACTTCCCGTTATCTTGTTCACTTCCAGACTAACATCTCTAGACAGGTAACTGTGTTCCTCAAGGACTTAAAAGCACTTAACAACAGCTTAAAACTTAGGTTCTCACTCTTTAGCAAGGACTTGAAGACTTTTAATGATTCAGCTCCTGCTCACAAATCTAACCTCATTTTTTCCCACATCAACACTGAACAGAAACTAAGTTCCACTCATATATAAAATCTTTCAATTTTCTGGAATAAAAAAGATTATGTAGCTGTCACCCATAATCTGACTCCAGAACTCTGTTTCTGCACCTTCCTATCAAACTCATAATAAGTCTCCGTATTAGTCTGTTCTCATGCTGCTAATATGGACATGACCAAGACTGGGTAATTTATAAAGAAAAATAAGTTTAATGGATTCACAGTGCCACTTGGCTGGGGAGACCTCACAATCATGGCAGAAGGCAAAGTTCAGGTCTTACACAGCAGCAGACAAGAGAAAGCATGTGCAGGGGAACTTCCTTGCATACAACCATCAGATCTCATGAGACTTATTCACTATCATAAGAACAGCACAATCCTCATGATTCAATTACCTCCCACTAGGTCCCTCCCACAATACGTGGGAATTATGGGAACAACAATTCGAGATTTGGGTGAGGACACAGCCAAACCATATCAGTCTCATAATAACAACCAAAGGCCAAGCCTTCCCTAAGTCGTCCTTAAGAGACTCATGTAGATTTCATAATTTGCTCCCAGTTGGGCCTTTTCTCAAGACCTTGACATTTTGATCTGGATTCAGATGACTTTGTGGCTCATTATGAATTCCATTTGTGTTCTTACACTGGTTTCAGTAAGATAGCTACACTTTCATCAATTTGTGTCATTATTTATTAATTCTTTGCATAACTGGACTTCAAAATAGGATTTTAAAAAATGTTTTGACCGTGTGCTCTTCACAATGAAGATTTTGTTATGTGATTCTTTCTTTCCTATCATATGGGAGAAAATAGGATTGGGCTGTGTGCCCTGAGAGGGAGGCACATTTAGATATTTTAGGAGTTGTAAAAAGAACGCCAAATATCAGAGAGAGAGACTTCGCTTCACCTGTAGTTCAAATGGTTTGTTAGGACAGGTACAGTGGCTCATGCCTGTAATTCCAGCACTTTGGGAGGTTGAGGCAGGTGGATCACTTGGGCTCATGAGTTCAAGACCAGACTGAGCAACATGGTGAAACCCTGTCTCTACAAAAAATAGAAAAACTAGCCAGGCATGGTGATGCACAGTATTACGAGGTTGCACTTCACTGAAAAAACAAAGTTGTTTAGCACTTCCATGTGAACCACACCATCTCACAACTATGAGGTGTAGCTGAAGTCCAGTCCCAAGGACACAAAGAAGACACACCATGTTAATGGAATGACACACTGCAGTGTATCTAGATAAAAGATCCTGGGCCTTGATGAGAGAGATAGACGCAGTCTTGAAGGAACTGATTATGCAGTGATTCTGCATTTAAATATTTGACCTAATTTTAATGACAAAAATGCATGCACCTTTCATTTTCAAAGTACAGTTGTTCCTCAGTATCCATGGGAAATCAGCTCCAGAATACCGCCACAGATACCAAAATCCACTGATGCTCAAGTCTTATATAAAATGGTATATTTTCATATAACCCATGCTTATCCTTCCATATGCAGTCATGTGCCTCATAATGACCTTTTAATCAATAATGAACCATGTATATTACCATGGCCCCTTAAGATTATAAACACATATAGAAACCTTCTTGCAGGAAGTCAGAGATCCAGAATGGAGGGACTGGTGGGAACCGTGTCAGAAGAACATAAATTGTGAAGATTTCATGGACATTTATTAATACTTTTATAATTAATACTTTTATAATTTCTTATCCTTGTCTTACTTTAATCTAATCCCATCATCTTCATAAGCTGAGGATGTATGTCGCCTCAAGACCCTGTGATGATTGCATTAAGTGTACAAATTGTTTGTAAAACGTGTGTTCAAACAATATCAAATCTGATTGTAAAACATGGGTGTTTGAACAATATGAAATCAGTGCACCCTGAAAAAGAACAGAATAACAGCGATTTTCAGGGAACAAGGGAAGATAACCATAAGGTCTGACTGCCTGTGGGGTCGGGCAGAATACAGCCATATTTTTCTTCTTGCAGAGAGCCTATAGATGGACGTGTGAATAAGAGAATATCACTGAATTCTTTTCTCAGCAAGGAATATTAATAATTAATACCCTGGGAAAGGAATGCATTCCCGGGGGTAGGTCTATAGACGGCCGCTCTGGGAGTATCTCTCTTATGCAGTTGAAATAAGGACTGAAATACACCCTGGTCTCCTGCAGTACCCTCAGGCTTGCTAGGATTGGGAAATTCCAGCCTGGTGAATTCTAGTCAGACTGGTCTCTGCTCTTGAACCTTGTTTCCTGTTAAGATGTTTATCAAGACAATGTGTGCACAGTGGGACACAGACCCTCATCAGTGGTTCTAATTTTGCCTTCACCTTGTGATCTTTATGGCCCTTTGAAGCATGTGACCCTTGTTACCTACTCCCTATTCGTAAACCCCCTCCCCTTTCAAAATCCCTAATGACACCCCCAGAGGCCTAGATGTAAAATTTCTTTCTTTGTACCCCTTATTTCTCAGACCAGCCAACACTTAGGGAAAATAGAAAGAACCTATGTTGAAATATTGGGGGCTGGTTCCCCCGATAAAACCTGATATGTGGGACTTGATACTAGCACTGCAGATCAAGTAGGGAAAGTGACTGATATTCAATGACGGTGCTAGAACATATGGTTTCTCATATGAAAAAATATAAACATATATACCATCTAGGGTTATGTAAGTACACTTTATGATGTTCACAAAACAAAAATATTGCTTAGTAATGCATGTCTCAGAACATACACATGTCATTAAGCCATGCATGACTGTACTTTATATCATCTCTGGAACACTTCGGTCAATCAGGAAACACGACCCAGACAAATCTCGATCATTTTAAGAGGTTTATTTGCCAACGTTAAGGATGCACACCCAGGAGACAGGTCTATGCCTTTCTTCAAAAATGATTATGAGGGCTCCAAATTTAAAGGGGAAAGGGTGAAATATTGAGAAATACAGTTTTCATGTAAGATTGGGGTAGGGGGAAAACATTCATTGATATGGTTTGGCTCTGTGTCCCCACACAATTCTCACCATAAATTGTAATAATCCTCATGTGTCAAGGGTGGGACCAGGTGGAAGTAATTGGATCATCAGGGCAGTTTCCTCTTTGCTGTTCTCATGATAATGAATCACATGAGATCTGATGGTTTTGTAAGTGTCTGGTATTTCCCGTGCTTGCACTCATTGTCTCTCCTGCCCCCCTGTGAAGAGGTGCTCTCTGCCATTATTGTAAGTTTCTTGAGGCCTCCCCAGCCATGCAGAGCTGTGAGTCAATTAAACCTCTTTCCTTTATAAATGACCCAGTCTTGAGTATTTCTTCAGAGCAGTATGAGAACAGACTGATACAGTCATTCATGCCTTTGTCTCAGTGAATCTGCATTTATACATAACATAGACAAACAGGGAGGGGGAACAATCAGATATACATTTGTGTCAGGAGGGCAGAGGGGTGAGAATAGACTGATACAGTCATCCATGTCTTTGGCTCAGTGAATCTGCGTTTATACATAACATAGACAAACAGGGAGGGGAACAATCAGATATGCATGTGTGTCAGGTGGGCAGAGGGGTGAGAACAGACTGATACAGTCATCCATGTCTTTGGCTCAGTGAATCTGTATTTTTACATAACATAGACAAACAGGGAGGGGAACAATCAGATATGCATTTGTGTCAGGTGGGCAGAGGGATGACTCTGAGTTCTGTCCTATGCATTGTAAAGATGAGATATCAGACCAGGCACAGCAGCTCACATCTGTAATCCCAGCACTCTAAGAGGCTGAGGTGGGTGGATCACCTGAGGTCAGGAGTTCAAGACCAGCCTGACCAACATGGAGAAACCCCGTCTCTACTAAAAATACAAAATTAGCCAAGTGTGGTGGTTCATGCCTGTAATCCCAACTACACAGGAGGCTGAGGCAGGAGAA
This sequence comes from Homo sapiens, assembly GCF_000001405.40. NCBI lineage: Eukaryota > Metazoa > Chordata > Mammalia > Primates > Hominidae > Homo > Homo sapiens. Next base: position 143,432 of record NT_187377.1, on the reverse strand, counting down.
TCACTTGAACCCGGGAGGCAGAGGTTGTGGTGAGCCGAGATTGTGCCATTGCACTCCACCCTGGGTGACAATAGTGAAACTCCATCTCAAAAAAAAAAAAGAATAAAAAGGATAAGCTATTGATTTACATTGCCATGATGAATTTTAACAGAAACACTTTAAAGATCTTAAAGCACACCAGAAATTTCCTTGTGGGAAAAATATGAGCTTTTTATCTTGTAGCCATCTTATTTAGGAACCAAAAGGAGGAGGCAGGTTTGCATGACTGAGTTCCCAGCTTGACTTTTCCCTTTAGCTTAATGAGTTGGAGTCCCAATCTTTATTTTCCTTTCACACTTAGAAGACCAAATACAATGTGGATGTAAATAGTTGTGTTGTTTAGCAAGTAATGACAAGAAAAAGTCTGAATATGTTCACTACAGATGCAAGCGTCTGATTTTATTTCAAATATTTTGCATCCAAGTTTGTTTACATACACAGATATTAAACCTACAGATACAAAAAGCTGAGTGTACTTACAAATTAGTAGCTCTACACAGGCAGCATAAAATTCTCTTTGTACATGCCAAAAACATTCTGTGTCCACCCAGGGTGAACACAGCCTCTTCACAAACAGGGTGTAAATAAGGAGGTTCACTAAGTACAGGAAAGTTACATGACCATATTGGCATTTTAACAGCCATTCCTGAGAAAGAGAATGGGAAAGGGCTTAAGAGTCAGAGGAGAGGAAAAGAGAAAGACAGATGACCTCCTACATCAGAAGATGGAGCAGTGAGAATACAGAATAGGGAAGCAATAGTTAAAAGGAAAACAAGTAGAAACAGGATTTGATGTCAATTTGCTGTGCAGAGGGTAAAAAGGGGAGTTTTGTTTCCAGGCTATCTGCCATGATTACAGCTAGTTTGTTACTGGTGATGTGAAATTTGGAAAAATAAAGAACAATATGATGGCCAGAAGTGATACAGACTTGGACACGTCATGTTGGAAATATCTGAGGTCCCATATGTAGGGATGCCCAACTGGCAATTGGGAATACAGTTCCAGAGTTCACAAGAGAGATCAAAGCTGGAGATAAAGATTTTGAAACTATCAGAATTTCAATGGTACCTGAATCCATCAGACCAAATGAACCTAAGAGAATGAAAGGATAAAAAGGAACAAGTACAGAATCCACAGAATCCCTAATATTTACAAAGAGAAATAAACTGTTAAGACCAAGAAGGATCTTTCTGAGTTTATTTCACAAATTAAGAAAAGCTCAATATTAGAAAGTCTACTAATACAATTCATCATATTCAGAGTCCTGAGGAGAAAAATCCTTTAATTGTCCACATAGGCATTAAGAAGAAAAGTCTTAGAAACAGATTCCAGGTTCTGATTTCTGCATGTAAGAAGCTTAGAAGTGGCCAGGTGCAGTGGCTCATGCCTGTAGTCCCAGCACTTTGGGAGACCAAGGTGGGCAGATCACCTGAAGTCAGAAGTTCAAGACCAGCCTGGTCAACATGGCAAACCCCCATCTCTACTAAAAATAAAAAAAAATTAGGCTGGGCGCAGAGGCTCACACCTGTAACCCCAGCACTTTGGGAGCTTGAGGTGGGTGGATCACCTGAAATCAGGAGTTTGAGACCAACCTGACCAACATGGCAAAACCGAACCTCTACTAAAAATACAAAAATTATCGAAGTTTGGTGGTGTTTGCCAGTAGTACCAACTACTTGGGAGGCTGAGGCAGAATAATTGCTTGAACCTGGGAGGTGGAGGTTGCAGTAAGCGAAGATCAAGCCACTGTACTACAGCCTGGATGACTGAGTGAGCTCTGCCTCAAAAAATTAAAAAATAAAATAATAATAATACAAAAATTAGCCAGCATGGTGGTGGGTGCCTGTAATCCCAGCTACTCAGGAGGCTGAGGCAGGGAGAATCACTTGAACCTGGGAGCTAGATGTCGCAGTGAACTGAGATTGCACGACTGCACTCCAGCCTCAGCAACAAGGTGAGACTCCAACTCAAAAAAAGGAAAAAAAAAAAGAATGGAAGTAATCAGTCCATCTTAACACATGAAAAGCTGAAAAGATCAGGTGTTGTGGCTCATGCCTATCATCCCAGCACTTTGGGAGGCCAAAGCAGGAGGTTCCCTTGAGTCTAGGAGTTTGAGACCAGCCGGGGCAACATAGTGAGACCCCCAACTCTAAAAAACTTTTTTTTAATAAAACAAATAAAAGCTGAAGAGACTGAAAAATCTACAATCCTTTTTGGATTTGAATGTGAAGAGAGGACATAGGGCAAGCCACTGCCCCCAAGATTGGAGAGATAGAGAAGTGAATATAGGAATTTATGGCTTACAGGAACAGAGACTCACTACTGAAACCACCTTAGGAACCAGTGCTGGAGTAGAAAATCTTGAACAATAACTGGTGAATTGCTGAAGGTTCCATATGGACAACACAAGGAGGTAAAAACGCCAGGGATATCCAGGTATGAGGGAGCATAATATTGTAAAATTTACCTCCTGGAGCTTCACCAGGCTCCTGTGGCAAACACCTGAGAAAACTCGCTTCCTGCTTCCACCTTTGGGAAGGAAAAAGGAAAACCATCTTAAAATATGCCAGAGCACCCTGTTCTTAACAAGGCTTGTCCTCAGGAGAAATTACTGAACCTCAGCTTAACTTGCTCTCATATAATCAGATCCTAAATGACCTGCTGGAAGGGAAATAACGAACTCCAGCCTACTACACTCATCCCTAAAGGGGAAGATAAAAACAGAGAAACACATGTGAAGTTCACAGTCCAAAAGCAGAGACTCACTTAAACAATGAGGCCCAATCGTAAGACTCCAGAACACTTCTGCTATGGTCTGAATATTTGTTTCCTGCCCGACCCCCTGCAAAATGTGCCTGTTGAAACCAAGTCTCCAATGCACTAGAATTAAGTGGTGGGGCCTTTGAAATGTAATGGCAAAGCCATCCTGATTGGGATTAGTGCACTTATGAAAGAGGCCAAAGGAAGCATCTTTGTCCATTCCAACATGAGAGGACATATAGCTGGCACCATCTATGAGGAATGAGTCGCATCAAACACTGAATCTCTTGGAACCTTGACTTTGGACTTTCTAGCCTCCAAACTGAGCAACAAATTTCTGTTGTTTACAAATTACTTGCTCTAAGTTATGCTGGTGGATGGACTAAGACAGCTTCCCCTCCCCTCCATAGCTTCCCATCATTACAGGATGCACTGTCACAGTAGTTCCTTTTACCTGGTATCTCATATCTAGGAATAAAGAAAAAGCACAAGGCATACTAAAAGACAAAAATCACAATTTGAAGTGACAGATCATCAGAACAAGACATAGCTATAATGCTGGAATTATCAGACAGGGATTTTTAAAAGTATCTCTAAGTAATATGCTAAGGGCTCTGATGAACAAAGGAGACAGCATTCAAGAACAGATAGGCAATGTAAGCAGAGAGACAGAAGTCCAAGGAAAGAACAAAAAAGAAACAGTAGAGATAAAAAAGTACTGCAACAGACCTGAAGAATGTCTTTGATTGGCTTACTAGTAGGCTGAACACAACAAAGGAAAGAGTCTGTGAGCTCTGAAAATGTGAAAGAAACTTTAAAAACTGAAAACAATGGAACATAATATCCAAGAACAGTGGGACAGCTACAAAAGGTGTAACATAGAGTGATGAGAATACCAGAAGGAGGAGAGAGAAATAGAAGAAACATCGGCAACAATCATGTTTGACAACTTCCACTGTTAATGTCAGACACCAAATCAAAGATCCAGGAAGCTCAGAGCACACCAGAGAGTGTACATGCTAAAAACCTACACCTAGGCATATTATTCTCCAACTGTATAAAACATCAACTCCAAAAGAGACCAAAGGTGGAGTGGACAACATCTTACCTATAGAGAAACAAAGAAACAAAGGTAGAGAAACAAAGAAACAAAGGTAGAGAAACAAAGAAACCTATAGACAAACAAACAAAAATCACATTCAGGCCAGGCTTTGTGGCTCATGCCTGTAATCCCAGTACTGTGGGAGGCCAAGTTGGGTGGATCACGAGGTCAGAAGATTGAGACCATCCTGGCTAACATGGTGAAACCCCATCTCCACATAAAATACAAAAAATTAGCCAGGCGTGGTGGCAGGAGCCTGTAGTCCTAGCTACTCGGGAGACTGAGGCAGGAGAATGGTGTGAACCTGGGAGGCAGAACTTGCAGTGAGCCGAGATTACACCACTGCACTCCAGCCTGGGTGACAGAGTGAGAATCCGTCTCAAAAAAAAAATTACATTCAACATCTCAGAACCATGAAAGTAAAGAGAGTGGAATGAAATATTAAGCATGCTGAGAGAAAAAAAATCAAATTAGATTTCAGTGCCCTGTGAGATCTTCTTTCAAAAGTAAATGAGAAATAAAGCATTCCTTGGACAAACAAAAGTTGAGGAAACTTGTTACCAGCAAATGTGTTATGTAAGAATATGTTAAACATTATCTAGACAAAAAAAAGATACACATCTGAAAACTGAATCTACATTTCATTTATTTTTATTTATTTATTTTGAGACTGAGTCTCGCTCTGTTGCCCAGGCTGGAGTGCAGTGGCACAATCTCGGCTCACTGCAACCTCAGCCTCCCAGGTTCAAGCAAGTCTCTGCCTCAGCCCCCCAAGTAGCTGGGATTACAGGAGCCCTCCACCACGCCTGGCTAATTTTTTTGTATTTTTATTGGAGACAGTGTTTCACCATCTCTGCCAGGCTGGTCTTGAACTCCTAACCTCGTGATCCACACATCTCGACCTCCCAAAGTGCTGGGATTACAGGTGTGAGCCACTACACCCGCCTGAATTTACATTTTAAAAATAACATTAGAGAAGGAATAAGTGGTTGTAAAATCCCTTTTTTTTTTTAGATGGAGTCTCATTCTGTCACCCAGGCTGAAGTGCAGTAGTGTGATCTTGGCTCACTGCAAGCTCTGCCTTCTAGGCTCATGCCATTCTCCTGCCTCAGCCTCCCGAGTAGCTGGGACTACAGGCACCCACCACGCCTGGCTAATTTTGTTTTCGTGTTTTTAGTAAACACAGGATTTCACCATGTTAGCTAGGATGGTCTCAGGCTTCTGACCTTGTGATCTGCCCACCTCGGCCTCCCAAAGTGCTGGGATTACAGGCATAAGCCACCGTATCCGGCTGCTTACTTTTTATTCTTAATTCTCCTAACATATAACAGTTTGTATATAATAACAATGTATGCAATTATATACTTTTTTTTCAGACGGAGTCTTGCTCTGTCGCCCAGGCTGGAGTGCAGTGGTGCAATCTCAGCTCACTGCAACCTCCACCTCCTCCCTGGTTCAAGCAATTCTCCTGTCTCAGCCTCCTGAATAGCTGGGACTACATGCGTGTGCCACCATGTCCAGCTAATTTTTGTATTTTTAGTAGAGATGGGGTTTCACTGTGTTAGCAAGGAGGGTCTCCATCTCCTGACCTCATGGTCCACCTGCGTCGGCCTCCCAAAGTGTTGGGATTACAGGCGTGAGCCAAGGCACCCAACCAATTACATACTTTAATATATACAAGGCTATGTATGCTTACATATAAGTGAAACAAATGGCAACAATAACACAAGAGATGGGAATATGAGAGAAGCTGGTATTACATTTCTATTAGAAGGCCGTCAAAGTAACTGAACTAGTATAGTGTTATTTGAAGGTGGACTTGGATTTATTGCAAGTCTATACTGCAAACTCCAGGGCAACTAGTAAAAACCAAAGTATAAAAATACTAAAAAGAGGAAACAGGCCAGGTATAGTGACTTATGCCAAGGTAGAAAGATGGCTTGAGTCCAGGAGTTAGAGACTATCCTGAGCAACACAGTGAGACCCTGTCCCTACAGAAAAGAAAAGGCCAGGTATTGTGGTGCATACTTGTAGTCCTAGCTAATTGCATATTTGTAGTCCTAGCTAATTGCATACTTGTAGTCTTAGCTAATGACTTACTTGTAGTCCTACCTAATTGCATACTTGAGGTCCTAGTGAATTGCATACTTGTAGTCCTAGTTAATTGCATATTTGTAGTCCTAGTTAATTGCATACCTGTAATCCTAGTTAATTGCATACTTGTAGTCCTAGCTAGTTGGGAGGCTGAGGTGGAAAGATCACTTAAACCCACGAGGTTGAGTCTGCAGGGAGCCATGACCACACGACTGCACTCCAGCCTGGGTGAATGCTGTTTCAATTTCAAAAAAAAAGTAATGAGAGGAAATAAAAATCATATAAAATCATCAACTCCATAAAAGGCAGAAAAAGAGTGGAGGACAAAGCAAGAACAAAGAACAATAGGAGTGAATGGAAAATGATATGGCAAAATTAACCCAACTGTATAATCACTTTGAATGTCATGGTCTAAATGCACCAACGAAAAGACAAGTGGTTAAAGCCCATCAAAATAGAGGCACACCTCACTTTATCGAGCTTCACTTTATTTTGCTTGGCAACATCACCTTTTTAACAAATTAAAGATTTGTGGCCACAAAGTGCTCAGCAAGTCTGACCAGCACCATTTTTCCAACACCGTGTGCTCACTTCACATCTGTGTCACATCTTTTGGCAATCCCCACAATCTTTCAAACATTTTAGTTATCACATCCGCTATGATGATCTGTGATCAGTGATTTCTGATGTTACTATTGGAATTGTCTCAGTGTGCTGGAACTCTATGGAAGACAGTAAACATGATGGAAAAGTGTTGTGTTTGACTGCTTCATTGGCTAGACATTTCCCTATCTCCATTTCTCTCTTCCAGCCCCCCATTCCCCAAGATACAACAATGAAATTAGGCCACTTCATCCTGCAGTGGCCACCATGTGTTCAAATGAAAAGAAGTGTGCACATCTGTCACTTCAAATTATCAAGCTTAGTGAAGAAAGCATGTTGGAAGCTAAGAGAGGCCAAAGCTAAGCTTCTTGCATGAGCTACCCAAGTTGTGAATGCAAAGAAAAAGTTCTTGAAGGAAGTTATAGGTGCTACTCCAGTGAACACATGAATGATTTTTAAAAAACAAAACAGCCTTTTTACTGACACAGAGAAAGTCTGAGTGGTCTGCATAGAAGATCAAACCAGCCCCAACATTCCCCTGAGACAAAGCCTAATCCTGAGAAAGGCCCTAACTCTCTTCAATTCTATGGAGGAGAACAGAGATGAGGAAGTTTCAGAAGAAATGTTTGAAGCTGGCAGAGGTTGGTACATGAACTTCTAGGAAAACAGCCATATCTGTGACATTAAAGTGCGAAGTGTGCTGTAAAAATGGGAACAAGAAAGCCTGCATGATAGCACTTCTGTTACAGCATTGTTAAGACCTTCTTGTTGGTAGGCCAGGAAGTAATGGTCACCATTTTTGTCCATATTCTCCTAGACTGAGCATGGAGAAATCTATAATAGTAGCCAGAGAGGTGTACGTTGTGTGTTCAAGGGGAAAAAAAGTGATTTTGAGGGAATGCATAGCCTGCCTCAGCTACATCAGATTTCTCTCCTATATGGGTTTGTTGATGCCTGCTGAGGTGTGACTTCTGGCAAAAGGTTTTCCCACATTCCTTACATTCATAAGGTTTTTCTCCTGTGTGTGTTCTCTGATGTATACTGAGGCCTGACTTCTGGGAGAAAATTTTCCTACATTCATTACTTCTAAAGGGTTTTTCCTCTGTGTGAGTTCTGTGCTGTACAAAGGGTTTTGACTCCTGGGAGAAGGTTTTCTTACATTCAAATGACTTCTCACCTGTGTGAATTCTCTGATGTATGGTGAGAACTGCCTTATGGTAAAAAGTTTTCCTACATTCATCACATTCACAGGTTTTCTCTCTCCTGAGTGAATTCCCTGATGCATATTGAGGTTTGACTTGTGACAAAAGGTTTTCCCACACTCATTACATTCGTAAGGCTTTTCTCCAGTATGGGTTCTATGATGGACAGTGAGGACTGACTTCTGACTGAAGGTTTTTCCACATTCGCTACATTCATAGGGTTTCTCCCCTGTGTGAATATCTGGATGCTTCCGAAGATTTGCCTTCTGATGAAAGGATTTTCCACATTCATTACATTCATAGGGCTTTTCCCCAGTGTGAGTTCTCTGATGTATAATAAGGTATGATTTCTGACAAAAAGTTTTTCCACCTTGGTTCATCCATACTGTTTCTCCCCTGTGTGAGTTCTCTGGTGTACGGTGAGGAATGACTTGCCATGAAAGGTTTTTCAACATTCATTTCATATGTAAGGTTTCTCCCCTGTGTGAGTTCCCTGATGTGTGCTGAGATTTGACTTCTGACGAACGGTTTTCCCACATTCATTACATTAATTGGGTCTTTCCCCTGTGTGAGTTCTCTTGTGTATCCCAAGGTTTAACTTATTGATAAAGGTTTTCTCACATTCAATACATTCATAGGGTTTTTTGCTAGCATGAGTTCTCTGATGTATAGTTAGAAATGACTTATAACTTACAGTAAAAGGATTTTCCACATTCATTACTTTCATAGGGTTTTTCCCCTGTGTGAGTTCTGTGAGGTACTGTAAGTTATGACTTGTGGCTATACGTTTTTCCACATTTGTTACATGCATATGGTTTTTCCCCAGTATGAGTTCTCTGATGGACAGTGAGGAATGACTTACGGTGAAAGGTTTTCCCACGTTCATTGCATTCGTAGGGTTTTTTGCCTGTGTGAGCCCTTTGATGGACAGTGAGGAACGACTTTTGGTGAAACGTTATCCCACATTCATTGCATTCATAGGGTTTTTCAAATGTGAGTTCTCTGATGTATCCTGAGGTTTGACTTATTGATAAAGGGTTTTCTACACTCATTATATTCATAGGGCTTTTCCCCTGTGTGTGTTCTCTGATGGACAATAAGCTTTGACTTATGGCTAAATGCTTTTTCACAATGGTCACATGCATAGGGCTTTTGCCAGGTGTGAGTTCTATGATGTATTGTGAGGTATGACTTCTGGCTAAAGGTTTTTCCACATTCACTACACTGATAGGGCTTTTCCCCTGAGTGAGTTCTGTGATGTAAAGTGAGAAGTGATTTACAGTGAAGTTTTTCCACATTCAATACATTTGTAGGGCTTATCCCCAGTGTGAGTTCTCTGATGTAAAGTGAGGAATGACTTACAGCGAAAGGTTTTTCCACATTCATTGCATCCATAGGGCTTTTCCTCTGTGTGAATTCTCTGATGGATAGTGAGGCTGGACTTATAGCTGAACAATTTTTCACACCAGTTACAGGCATAAGGTTTTTCCTCAGTAGGCATCTTGTGCTGTATCATGAGGTCTGATTTGCTAATGGAGGGTTTCTCACATTCAACACATTCATGGGGTTTCTCTCCTGTGTGTGTTTGCTGATGTTTACTGAAGTCAGACTTTCTACAGCAAGTTGGCTGTCTTACCTGAGTTATCCCTTGGACAATAATAGCTGAGTTTTTACAGGCTTTCTCATATTCATTATATTTACCAAAGGTCTGTCCTATATGAACCTTCTTATGTATAAAGAACATTGCCTCCATGTTGAAGGTTTTCCCTTGTTCATTACATTGAAAAGGCTGTAGCAGAGTCTGAATCTTGTGATGCTGAGTAAGATGTTCATGATGTCTGTGGGATCTCCTGATTATATCAGGGACATGAGGTTTCTCTCTAGACTGTGTCTCACCAGGCTTAATAGGGAAAAGCACGTTCTGGCAAACATTAAACTGTCCAGGCTTCACTCCTGAACTGTTTCCATTATTTATAATCAGATTTAAAACATGGTTTGAGTTAAAATTAAATGTTTTTCCTAATTCAACTCTCTCCTGAGTTTGATGTGTTGCTGTTGGTGATTACAATATGCCAGAAAAATCTATCATGACTTTCATGGCTCCTTTCAATAAGGTCATCAGTGATCTGGACAGCTGAAATGAGAAAAACGTATCCATGAACCACACAGGAGCATGTCTTACAGAATGCTTGTGTAAAGGTGAAAAAATTACTTCCTATCCCAGTGGAGTAAGATTTGATAAAAATTAATAATGGGTATTGGTTTTATATGCATATGGTTCCTGTTCCTTCTGACATCATGTAATAAATCAGTATATTTTCTAATGTTCAATTGAGTTTTTCTTTGCATTTTGAAGTTTTCGTTTTTTTTTTATTTCACAAAGAATTATTTGGTAATAATATGCATCTACTTACTACTCATAGGTTTTAATAAGTGCTCATTATCTGTCATTTGTTTTCTCTCTTTTTTTCTATTTATTCATATAACAATAGTGGCTGTTTTAATAGTTGCTATTTTTTCATCATTCTTCTTTGAAGATAGCCAGTTTTTCTTGGGTCAGCAACTGGCAGGTACAGGAGATGGCCATTTTTCTGTCTCCTAAGCATCGAAGTAGCTTGTAGACAGGATTTTGCCTATATGTTAACTTTTCACTCCTCCCTGAGAATGGTTAAATGTGTCTGGAGGTTTTCCAAGCAGAAAATATCTTATTCCCCATGTTAAACATAAACAGATCCTGGCAAATTCCTACTTAAACATGGCATCTCCTGCTTCCCAGAACCATAATAGGCAAAGAAGCTCCAGTCAAAAAACCACACTAGTGATCTGAAGGATTGGTTCTGCAACTCAGGCTGTGCCCGTCATCTTTGAAAAGTGTATTTCTGGTTCCTTCTGAGATCAACAGCTCTGTCCCTCTCCACTCACACACCCCTGCTTGATAATTCACCATTTTTGAAGGGTTTTATTTTGTGTTTTGGAGTTTCAGATGTCACACAGCTATATATAAATATGAAGTTTCCTGTACATTTCTCATCTTCAAATGGTAACTACAAACTCCACTCTCAAACAGAAATCTGAGCCCTTCAACAGGAAATCATTGGTTTCTTTGGACTTGAGACCCAGAATCTTCTGGTTCTCCTCCCAAGTCCAGCACCACCCCTATCCAGGCCCCTATGATGGGTTCTCCTCAGCTTCATAATTTCTTTCTGAGACAGGATCTTACTCTGTTACCCAGGCTGGAGTGCAGTGTTGCTATCATAGGTCACTGAAGCTTCAAGCTCCTGAGCTCAAGCAATCCTTCCACCTCAGCCTCCCAAGTATAAAAACTGGGATTACAAACCCATGTCACCATACTCAGCTACTATTTTGTGTGTGTGTGTGTGGGTGGGAGTCTACAAGGATCAATTAAGGCCAGAAGTTCGAGACCAGCCTGGGCAATAGAACAAGACCTCATCTCCACAAACAATAAAAAATTAGCCAGGTGTGGTGGCACACACCTGTAGTCCTAGCTACTTGGGAGGCTAGGCTGTGAGGAACACTTGATCCCAGGAGTTCATCGTTACAGTCAACTATAATCATGCCACTGCACTTGAGTCTGAGAAACAGAGTGAGAACCATCTGTTTGATAAAAAATAAAACAAGAAGAATAAAGCTACAGCTTAAAAAGAAACACTATTTTCATCATCATTGTTATAATGACTGATTCTCAAAAATTGCTTAAGATACATTCAAAGGATAAATAAATGCATAAATGTCTAAAAAAATTTTTAAGACACTACATCAGAATAGAGGAAAAGGGGGAAATAGATAAAATAAATAGCAAAGAAAAAGGCCTAAAGAGAGGATGGCAGGGATTGGATTTGGGGTAAATAGAAGAAGATACTCAGAAAAATAAGAGACTGGGATATATGCATGACAGTTACTCCTGGGGACTATATAATGGACATTTAATGCAGACCAACAGTCTTCAGGTCGAAGACCTAGGGAAAAAAGTGGTGAAAACAAGATAACACTACCAAAATCTGCTGGGCATTACTCCTCCAGGCCTCCCACCCCAGTATTCACTGACTGACCTGAAAGTCTCAGGTTTGGTATTTCTTCTACTATCCATGTCTCTGTTCCTTGCTCTAGCTTGAAGATCATCTCAGGTTTGGTAATGCAATGCCCTGGTAACGAGAAACAATGGAATACTTTGTCAAACCACTAAGTCAAATCCTTTTCAGAATGACAAGAGCTGGGCTTCAGGGACTGTGTAATGAAGGAGCCAATTTGAACATTTCATTAGAATAATGACACATTTTTCATCAACCAGAATCTTACAAGTAAATATTATTATATCTTAAAAGGGTTTCTATATTTACCAACAACAATACACATTCCTGGGAGTTACTGGGAAGTTTCACTCACCCAATGATACCAGGCTGCTGTAGGTCTCCACAATCACGTCCCTGTAGAAGGTCCTCTGAGCATCATCCAGGTCCTGTCACTCCTCCCAGGTGAAGTGCAGAGCCACATCTTCAAAGGACACCAACCCCTGTAATGACACATATTTCCTCAAGTCAAAGCATCAGCCCAGGGTCAAAAGAACAAGAATCTGGGAATTCACTCTTTTGTGTGTCCATGTGTCTTATATGTATTTTAGATAAGACGTAGTTTGTTTTATACTGTTTATGGTGGGAGAAGGAGTAATCACAGTAGAAATATTCTTCCACTGTAATAACTTATGAATTAATAAAATTATATTACAAATTTCACCTTATAGATCTAGAACCACTCTTGTTGCTAGGGACAAAAGTATAAACAAAATGCAAGACCCTCTCTCTTCAAAAATAATAAAAAAATACAGGCATAATGCTGGATGCCTGTAGTCCTGGCTACTCTGGAAGCTGAGGCTGAAGGATTGCTCAAACACAGGAGTTTGACAGTGCAGTGAGTGATGATCACACCACTGCACTCCAGCCTGGCCAACAGAGAGCCTATCTCTCAAAAAAAAAGAGAAATAAAATTCTACTCCTCAAAGGAGCTCATGATCTGGTTATGAATATATAAGTATAAACACATACTGGGAATAATGTTTAGGTGAACTCATTGAGACACAAGTTCAATGCAGACTAAGATAAGAGAGAAGGAGAAAATAAATTTTGTTTATTTTGCATCAAGAGATTCGACTTTACTGAAAAATCAGGTGATTGGCTCTTCCACATGAACCATGAATTCTCATGACTATGAGAAAATATCAGAAGTCTACTGACAAAGGCAAAGTGAACACACACCACTTTAATGGAACTCTGGACAGCACCATGCCTAGATGAATGATCCTGGGCAGTGATGAAAGCTAAATGCAATATTTAAGGAATTGATTATGCAGTGATTCTGCATTTAAATATTTGACTTAATTTCAAAAATTTTTATGCACCTATCATTTTTACATTACATTACTTCCTCAGTATCCATGGGGACTGATTCCAAGATACCCCCAGATACCAAAATCCACAGATTGGATAACTCTGTTATATAAACAAGTCTCATATTTACATATAACTTATGCACATACTCCTGTATACAGTCATGAGCTCCATAATAACATTTCAGTCAATGATGAAACATGTATATCACAGTAGTCCCATAAGATGATGATGAAACATACACGGAAACCTGATATTGGCATTGCAGATGAAGTGCAGAAAGTGATATTCAATAATGGCTCTGAGCCATCTGGTTACCCATATACCAAAAACATATAAATAAAAATATACATACCATGTAGGTTTTTGTAACACTATGATGTTCACAAAACAATGAAATTACCTAAGGTTGCATTTCTCAGAAAGTAATCCCATCAGTAAGCCATGCACGACTGAACTTAAAATCTTTAGATTACATATAATACTGAAGACAATATAATGCTACATAAATAGCTGTTATACTGTACCGTTTAGGAAATAATGACAAGAAAAATTTCTGTAGATGCTCTGCACAGAGACAACCATCTATTTTTGTGGGAATATTTTCAATCTGAAGTTGGCTGAATCTGCAGATGCAAAACCCATGGAAACAAAAGGGTGAGTATACTTAATTAAAATCATATACACTGGCATTTCAAAATTTCCTTTCTACGGGACAAAAAATTTCTGTATCCACCCAGGGTGAACACAGCCACTTCACAAACAGGTGTAAATAAGGAGGTCCAGTAAGGACAGAAAAGTTACATGACCATATTGGCATTTTAACAGCCATCCCTGAGAAAGAGAATGGGAAAGGGCTTAAGGGAAAGCCAGAAGGGAGTAAAGAGGAAGACAGACGACCACCTACATCAGTACATGAGGACACGGAGTGTAAGAATACACAATAGGGAAGCAGTTCTTAAAAGGAAAAAAATGTAGAAACAGGATTTGGTACCAATTTACTGTGCAGTGGGTAAAAACGGGAGTTTTGTTTCCAAGTTATCTGCCCTGATCCAGCTAGTTTGGTACTGGTGCTGTGAAGTGAAATTTGCAAAAAAATTAAAAGAATATGATAACCAGAAGTGACACAGACCTGGACATCTCATGTGTGAAACATCTGACGTTCCATATGTGGGAATGTTCAACTGGCAATTGGGAATATAGCTCCAGTGGTTCAGAAGAGAGATCAAACTAAAGATAAAGATTTGGAAATTACCAGAATTTCAATGCTACCTGAATCCATCAGACCAAATGAAAATAAGAGAAGGAAAGAATAAAAGAAACAAGTACAGAATCTACAGAAACACTAACATTTACACTGGAAGAGAAATAGACTGTGAAGACCAAGAAGGAACTTTCTGAGTTTATTCCACGAATAAAGAAAAGTTCAATATTCAGAAGTCTAATATAATTCATCTTGATCATATTCCTGTGGAAAAAAATCCTTTAACTGTGCACATAGGCATTGAGAAGATAGTTTTAGAAACATATTCCAGGTTCCTATTTCTGCATGTAAGAAGCTTGGAAGTAATCAATAATTACTTTACAATAATTAATTTTTATAACAAGCTTAACAACAAATTAATATGACACAATTAATCTTAACAACAAATAAAAAGCTGAAGAGACTAAAAAATCAACAATTCTTTCTAGATTTGAAACTTAGGGGAGGACACAGGGCAAACCACTGCCCCTAGGATTGCAGAGACAAAGAAGTGAATATAGGACTTAATGGCTTAAAGGAACATGGACTCACTACTGAAACCAACCTTGGAACCAGTGCTGGAGTAGAAAATCTCAAACCGTAACTGGTGAACGGCTGGAGGATCCGCGTGGACAACTCTAAGTGGTAAAAACTACAAGAGATAGAGTTACTGTTGGGGAGGGGGGACAATACTGTAAAATTGTCTCATGGAGCTTCACCAGGCTCCTGTGACAAATACCTGAGGAAACTCCACTCCTGCTTCAGTCTTTCAGAAGGAAAAAGGAAAACCAGTTTGAAATATGCCAGAGCACCAAGTTCTTAACAAGGCTTGTCCACAGGAGAAACTACTTAACTTCAGCCTAATCTGCTCTAGTATAATCAGAGACTAAATAACATAGGGGAAGGAAATTATCCCTTCCACTGTAGCCCATTCTAGTCATGTTCCACCTAAGGTGGAAAATTAATTAAACAGAGGAACACTTCTGAGGTTCACAGTATAAACCCAATCATAGCATTCCAGAACACGGCTGCTGGGGCCTGCGTGTTTGTCCCTCACATATGGTACCAAAACGCTGCTCCTGAGGTCTGAATGTTTCTCCCTCACATAAGATTCCAGAACACTGCTATGAAGGTCTGAATGTTTGTCCCTTACAAAGGATTCCATAACATTGATGCTGGGGTCTGAATGTTTATCCTTAACCTAGGATTTCAGAACACTGCTCCTGGGGTCTGAATGTTTGTCCCTCACACAGGATTCCAGAACACTGATGCTGGGGTCTGAATGTCTGTCCCTCACATAGAATACCAGAACACTGATAAGAGGGTCAGAATGTTTGTCCCTCACATAAGATTCCATAACACTGCTGCTGGGGTCTGAAAGTTTGTCCCTCACATAGGATTCCAGATCACTGCTACGAGGTTCTGAATATTTGTCCGTTACATAGGACTCCAGAACACTGCTGTCGTGATCTGAATGTTTGTCCCCCACATAGGATTCCAGAACACTGCTGCTGGGGTCTGAATGTTTGTCCCTCACATAGATCTCCAGAACAGTGCTGCGAGGGTCTGAATGTTTCTCCCTCACATAGGATTCCAGAACATTGCTGCGAGGGTCTAAAAGTCTGTCCCTCACATAGGATTCCAGAACATTGCTGCGAGGGTCTAAAAGTCTGTCCCTCACATAGGATTCCAGAACACTGCTACGAGGTTATGAATGTTTGTCCGTTACATAGGATTCTAGAACACTGCTGCCATGGTCTGAATGTTTGTCCCTCACATAGGATTCCAGAACACTGCTGCTGGGGTCTGAATGTTTGCCCTCACATAAGATTCCAGAACACTGCTCCCGGGGTCTGAGTGTTAGTCCCTCACACAGGATTGCAGAACACTAATGCAATGATCTGAATGTTTCTCCCTCACGTAGGATTTCAGAACACTGCTGCTGGGGTCTGAATGTTTGTCCCTCACATAGCATTTCAAAATACTGCTGCTGGGTTATGAATGTTTTTCCCTCACTTAGAATTCCAGAACACTAACGCAATGATCTGGATGATTGTCCCTCACGTAGGATTCCAGAACACTGCTGCTGGGGTCTGAATGTTTGTCCCTCACACAAGATTCCAGAACACTGCTATGAGGGTCTGATTATTTGTCCCTCACATAGGATTCCAGAACCCTCCTGATGTGGTCTGAATGCGTGTCCCTCACATAAGACTCCAGAACACTGCTATGAGGGTCTGAATGTCCGTCATATAGGACTCCAGAACATGGCTGCTGTGGTCTGAAAGTTTTTCCCTCACATAGGATTCCAGAACACTAATGCAATGATCTGAATGTTTGTCCCTCACATAGGATTCCAGAACACTGATTCCAGGGTCTGAATGTTTGTACCTCACATAGGATTCCAGAACACTGCTGCTGGGGTCTGGGTGTTTGTCCCACACATAGGATTCCAGAACACTGCTGGGAATGTCTGAATGTTTTTCCATCACATGGGATCCCAGAACACTGCTATTGGCTTCTGAATGTTTGTCCCCCACACAGGATTCCAGAACACTGCTGCTGTGGTCTGTTTTTTTCTTTTACTTTTTGTCTTTTTAAAATTACTTTATTAATATTTATTTTTAATTGACATAGGATATTGCAAGTTTTTTGTAATGTAAAATGTGAGGGACAAACATTCAGACCAATGCAGTAGCGTTCTGGAATCCTATGTGAAGGACAAAGTATGCATACATTGTGAAAAGGTCAAATCTAGCTAATTAACAAATACATCAACTCACATAGTTATCATTTTTGTGATGAATACACATAACATTAACTTTCTATTTCTCAAGAATACAATATGTCATATCAATTACAATCACCTTGCTCTACAATATATCTCCTGAAATGTATTCCTTCTGTGTAACTCTAAGTATGTATCCTCTGATTAACTGCAACTCCCCTTTACCCCTAGCTCTGATACCCACCATTGTACTTTGTAATTCTATGAGATCAACTTTTTAACATACCAGTAGAAGTCATGTCATGATATATTTGTCTTTTTGTGTCTGCCTTATTTCACTTAACATATTGTCCTCCAGGTTCATCCATGTTGTTTACAAACGACAGGGTTTTCTTTATTTACTGCCAAATAGTATACCACATTTTCTTTCTTTTTTTAATTATATTTTCCGTATTGAATTATTTATATATATATATATATATATATTTATTATACTTTAAGTTCTCGGATACATGTGCACAACGTGCAGGTTTGTTATGTTTGCATACATGTGCCATGTTGGTGTGCTGCACCCAGTAACTCGTCATTTACCTTAGGTATATCTCCTAATGCTATCCCCCCTCCCCCCACCCCACAACAGGCCATGGTGTGTGATGTTCCCCTTCCTGTGTCTATGTGTTCTCATTGTTCAATTCCCGCCTATGAGCGAGAACATGTGGTGTTTGTTTTTCTGTCCTTGTGATAGTTTGCTGAGAATGATGATTTCCAGCTTCATCAATGTCCCTACAAAGGACATGAACTCATCATTTTTTAAAGCTGCATAGTATTCCCTGGCATATATGTGCCACATTTTCTTAATCCAGTCTATCATTGTTGGACATTTGGATATTACAGTTGGTTCCAAGTCTTTGCTATTGTGAGTAACGTCACAATAAACATACGTGTGCATGTGTCTTTATAGCAGCATGACTTATATTCTGTTGGGTATATGTCCAGTAATTGGACGGCTGGGTCAAATGGTATTTCTAGCTCTAGATCCCTGAGGAAACACCACACTGTCTTCCACAATCGTCGAACTACTTTACAGTCCCACCAACAGTGTAAAAGTGTTCCTATTTCTCCACATCCTTTCTAGCACCTGTTGTTTTCTGACTTTTAAATGATCGCCATTCTAACTAGTGTGAGATGATATCTCATTGTGATTTTGATTTGCATTTCTCTGATGGCGAGTGATGATGAGCATTTTTTCATGTGTCTGTTGGCTGCATAAATGTCTTCTTTTGAGAAGTGTCCGCTCATATCCTTCGCCCACTTGTTGATGGGTTTTTTTCTTGTAAATTTGTTTGAGTTCTTTGTAGATTCTGGATATTAGCCCTTTGTCAGATGAGTAGATTGCAAAAATTTTCTCCCATTCTGTAGGTTGCCTGTTCACTGGTATGCCTTTTGCTGCACAGAAGTTCTTTAGTTTAATTAGATCTCATTTGTCAATTTTGGCTTTTGTTGCCATTGCTTTGGATGTTTAAGACATGAAGTCCTTGCCCATGCCTGTGTCCTGAATGGTATTGCCTAGGTTTTGTTCTCGGGTTTTCATGGTTTTAGGTCTAACATTTAAGTCTTTAATCCATCTTGAATTAATTTTTGTATAAGGTGTAAGGAAGGGATCCAGTTTCAGCTTTCTACATATGTCTAGCCAGTTTTCCCAGCACCATTTGTTAAATAGGGAATCCTTTCCCCATTTCTTGTTTTTGTCAGGTTTGTCAAAGATCAGATGGTTGTAGATGTGTGGTATTATTTCTGAGGGCTCTGTTCTGTTCCATTGGTCTATATCTCTGTTTTGGTACCAGTACCTTGCTGCTTTGGTTACTGTAGTCTTGTAGTATAGTTTGAAGTCAGGTAGCGTGATGCCTCCAGCTTTGTTCTTTTAGCTTAGGATTGACTTGGCCATGTGGGCTCTTTTTTGGTTCCATATGAACTTTAAAGTGGTTTTTTCCAATTCTGTGAAGAAAATCATTGTTAGCTTCATGGGGATGGTATTGAATCTATAAATTACCTTGGGCAGTATGGCCATTTTCACGATATTGATTCTTCCTATCCATAAGCATGGAATGCTCTTCCATTGGTTTGTGTCCTCTTTTATTTTGTTGAGCAGTGTTTTGTAGTTCTCCTTGAAGAGCTCCTTCACATCCCTTGTAAGTTGGATTCCTAGGTAATTTATTCTCTTTGAAGCAACTGTGAATGGGAGTTCATTCATGATTTGGCTCTCAGTTTGCCTGTTATTGCTGTATAAGAATGCTTGTGATTTTTGCACATTGATTTTGTATCCTGAGACCTCACTGAAGTTGCTTACCAGCTTAAGGAGATTTTGGGCTGAGATGATGGTGTTTTCTAGATATACAAACATGTCATCTGCAAACAGGGACAATTTGACTTCCAAGAAATGACTAAGATCAGAGCACAACTGAAGGAGATAGAGACAAAAAACCCTTCAAAGAATCAATGAATCCAGGAGCTGGTTTTTTGAAAAGACCAACAAAATTGATAGATCACTAGCAAGACTAATAAAGAAGAAAAGAGAGAAGAATCAAATAGACACAATAAAAAATGATAAAGGGGATAGCACCACCAATCCCACAGAAATGCAAACTACTATCAGAGACTACTGTAAACACCTCTATGCAAATAAACTAGAAAATCTAGAAGAAATGGATAAATTCCTCAATACATAAACCCTCCCAAGACTAAACCAGGAAGAAGTTGAATCTCTTAATAGACCAATAACAGGCTCTGAAATTGAGGCAATAATAGCATACCAACCATAAAAATTCCAGGACAAGACGGAATCACAGCCTAATTCTACCAGAGGTACAAGGAGGAGAAGTTGCCATTCCTTCTGAAACTCTTCCAATCAAGAGAAAAAGAGGGAATCCTCCCTAACTCATTTTATGAGGCCAGCATCATCCTGATACCAAAGCCTGGATAAGACATAACCAAAAAAGAGAATTTAAGACCAATATCCCTGATGAACATCGATGCAAAAATCCTCAATAAAGCACTGGCAAACTGAATCCAGCAGCACATCAAAAAGCTTATCCACCATGATCAAGATGGCTTCATCCCTGGGATGCAAGGCTGGTTCAATATATGCAAATCAGTAAACGTAATCCAGCATGCAAACAGAACCAAAGACAAAAAACACATGATTATCTCAATACAGGCAGAAAAGGCCTTTGACAAAATTCAACAGCCCTTCATGCTAAAAACTCTCAATGAATTAGGTATTGATGGGATGTATGTAAAAATAATAAGAGCTATTCATGACAAACACACAGACATTATCATACTGAATGGGCAAAAACTGGAAGCATTGCCTTTGAAAACAGGCACAAGATAGGGATGCCCTTTTCCATCACTCCTATTCAACGTAGTGTTGGAAGTTCTGGCCAGGGCTATCAGGTAGGAGAAAGAAATAAAGGGTATTCAATTAGGAAAAGAGGAGGTCAAATTATCCCTGTTTGCAGGGGTCTGTTTGCCCTCACATAAGATTCCAGAACACTGCTGCTGTGGTCTGCTTGTGCCTCACATAGCATTCCAGAACACTGCTGCTATGGTCTGAGTGATTGTCCCTGACATAGGATTCCAAAACACTGCTACGAGGGTCTGAATGGTTTGTCCCCCACATAGCATTCCAGAACACCGTGGCGAGGGTGTGAATGTTTCCCCCTCACATAGGATTACAGAACACTCCTGCTGTGGTCTGAATATTTGTCCCTCACATAGGATTCCAGAACACTGCAGATGGGATCTGAATGTTTGTCCCTTACGTAGGATTCCAGAACACTCCTGCTGTGGTCAGAGTGTTTGTCCCTCACATAGGATTCCAGAACACTCCTGCTGTGGTCTGAATGTTTGTTCCTCATTTAAGATTCCAGAACACTGATGCTGTGGTCTGAACATTTCTCCTTCACATAGGATTCCAGGACACAGTTGCTGGGGTCTGAAAGTTTGTCCCTCACATAGGATTCCAGAATACTGCTACGGGGGTTTGAATGTTTCTCCCTCACATAGGATTCCAGGCCACTCCTGCTGTGGTCTGAATGTTTTTCCCTCACATAGGATTACAGAACACTGCTAGTGTGGTCTAAATGTTTGACCCTCACATAGGAGTCCAGAACACTGCTGCTGGGTTGCAAGTGTCTCTCTCTCACATAGAATTCAGGAACACTGCTAAGAGGGTCTGATTGTTTGTCCCTCACATAGGATTCTGGAACACTGCTGCTGGGTTCTTAGTGTTTGCCCACACATAGGATTCCAGAACACTGTTGCTGTGGACTGAATGTTTGTTCCTCACAAAGGATTGAAGAACACTCCTGCAGTGGTCTGAATGTTTACCACTCACGTAGGATTCCAGAACACTACTGCAGGGTTCTGAGTGTTTGTCCCTCACATAGGACTCCACAAAACTGCTGCTGTGGTCTGAATATTTGTTCCTCACATAGGATTCCAGAACACTGCTACGAGGGTCTGAATATCTGTCCCTCAAATAGGATTCCAGAACATTCTTGCTGTGGTCTGAATGTTAGTCCCTCACATAGGATTCCAAAACACTGCTGCTGGGTTGTATTTCCCCTCACTTAGGATTCCAGAACACTGCTACGAGGGTCTGAATGATTGTCCCTCACTAGGACTCCAGAACACTGCTGCTGGAATCTGAATGTTTGTCCCTCACATAGGATTCCAGGATAATCATGCTGCGGTCTGAATGTTTGCGCCTCACATAGTATTCCAGAACACTCCTGCTGTGGACTGAATATTTATCCCTCACTTTGGATTCCAGAACACTGCTGTTGGGTTCTGAGTGTTTGTCCCTCACTTACGATTCCAGAACACTGCTACATGGCTCTAAATGTTTGTCCCTCATGCAGAAATCCAGAACACTGCTGCTGGGTCTGAATAGTTGTCTATCACATAGGATTCCAGAAGACTGCTACGAGGGTCTGAATGTTTGTCCCTCAAATAGGATTCGAGAACACTCCTGCTGTGGTCTGATTGTTTGTCCCTCACAAAGGATTCCAGAACAATCCTGCTGTTGTCTGAATGTTTGTCCCTCACACAGGATTCCAGAACTCTGCTACGAGGGTCTGAATGTTTGTACCTCACATAGGATTTCAGAACACTCCTGCTGTGGTCTGATTGTTTGTCCCTCACAAAGGATTCCAGAGCATTCCTGCTGTGGTCTGAACGATTGTTCCTCACAGAGGATTCCAAAACACTCCTGCTATGGTCTGAATGTTTGTCCAGCACATAGGAATCCAGAACACTCCTACTATGGTGTGAAAGTTTGTTCCTTACATAAGATTCCAGAACACTGCTGCTGTGGTCTGAATCTCACAAAGGATTCCAGGACACACCTCCTGTGATCTCAATGTTTGTCCCTCACACAGGATTCCACAACACTGCTGGGGGGTTCTGAGCGTTTGTCCCTCACATAGGATTCCCAAACACTGCTACAAGGGTCAGAATGTTTGTCCCTCACAGAGGATTCCAGAACACTACTGCTGGGTTCTGAGTGTTTGTCCCTCACATAGGACTCCACAACTCTGCTGCTGTCTTCTGAAGGTTTGTTCCTCACATAGGATTCCAGAACAGTGCTATGAGGGTCTGAATATTTGTCCCTCATATAGGATTAAAGAACACTTCTCCTGTGGTATGAATGTTTGTCCTCCACATAGGATTCCAGAACACTGCTGCTAGGTTCTGAGTGTCTGTCCCTCACACAGGATTCCAGAACACTGCTAGGAGGGTCTGAATGTTTGCCCCTCTCATAGGATATCAGAACACTCCTGCTGTTGCCTGATTGTTTCTCCCTCACAAAGGACTCCAGAACACTCCTGCTGTGGTCTGAATGTTTGTCCATCACACAAGATTCCAGAACACTGCTGCTACGTTCTCAGTGTCTGTCCCTCACATAGGATTCCAGAACACTGCTTCTGGGGTCTGAATGTTTGTCCCTCACATAGGATTACAGAACACTGTTTCTGGGGTCTGAATATTCATCCCTCACATAGGATTACAGAACACTGCTATGAGGGTCTGAATGTTCGTCTTACACAAAGGATTCCAGAACACTCCTGCTGTGGTCTGAATGTTTGTCCCTCACATAAAATTCCAGAACACTACTGCTCTGGTCTGAATGTTTGTCCCTAACATAGTATTACACAATACCCCTGCTGTGGTCTGAATGTTTGCCCCTCACATAGGATTCCAGAACACTGCTGCTGGGATCTCAGTGTTTGTCCCTCACATAGGATTCCAGAACATGGCTACGATGCTCTGAATGTTTGTCCCTCACATAGGATTTCAGAACACTGCTGTTGGGATCTGAATGTTTGTCCCTCACATAGGATTCCAGAACACTACTGCTGGGGTCCGAATATTTGTCCCTCACATTGGATTCCAGAACACTGCTGCTGGGATCTCAGTGTTTGTCCCTCACATAGGATTCCAGAACACGGGTACGATGCTATGAATGTTTGTCCCTCACATGAGATCCCAGAACACTGCTGCTGGGGTCTGAATGTTTGTCCCTCACATAGAATTCCAGAACGCTGATGCTGGGGTCTGAATGTTTTTCCCTTACATAGGATTCTGGAACACTGCTACGTGGGTCTGAATGTTTGTCCATCACATAGGATTCCAGAAAACAGCTATGAGTGTCTGAATGCTTCTCCCTTACATAGGATCCCAGAACACTCCAGCTGTGGTGTGAATGTTTGTCCCTCACATAACGTTCAAGAACACTGCTGCTGGGGTCTGAATGTTTGTCCCTCACAAAGGATTCCAGAAAAATGCTGCTGGCATCTGAATGTTTGTCCTTTACATCGGATTCCAGAACACTGCTGCTGGGTTCTGAGTATTTGTCTCTCACATAGGACTCCAGAACACTCCTGCTGTGGTCTAAAAGTTTGTCACTCACATAGGATTCCGGAAAACTTCTGCTGGGTTCTCAGTGTTTGTCCCTTACATAGAATTCCAGAACATTGCTAAGAGGGTCTGAATGTTTGTCCTTCACATAGGTGTCCAGAACACTGCTGCTGGGGTCTGAAGGTTTGTCCCTCACACAGGATTCCAGAACAGTGCTACGAGGGTCTGAATATTTTTCCATCAAATAGGATTGGAGAACACTCCTGCTGTGGTCTGAATGTTTGTCCCTCACACAGGTTTCCAGAACACTCCTGCTGTGGTCTGAATGTTTGTCCCTCACATAGGATTCCAGAACACTGCTGCTAGGTTAAGTGTCTGTCCCTCATATGGGATTGTATAACACTGTTATGAGGGTCTGAATGTTTGTCCCTCACACAGGATTCCTGAACACTCCTACTGTGGTCTGAATGCTTGTTCCTCACACACAATTCCACCACACTCCTGCTGTTGTCTGAATGTTTCTCCCTCACATAGGATTCCAGAACACTGCTGCTGGGTTCTGAGTGTTTGTCCCTCACATAGGATTCCAGAACACTGCTACGAGGGTCCGAATATTTGATCCTGAGATAAGATTCTAGAAAACTGCTGCTCGAGTCTGAGTGTTTGTCCTTCACATAGGATTCCAGAACACTGTTACGAGGGTCTGAATGTTTGACCCTCACATAGGACTCCAGAACACTCCTGCTGTGTTCTGAATGTCTGTCGCTCGCATAGGATTCCAGAACACTGCTACAAGGGTCTGAATGTTTCTCCTTCACAAGGGATTCCAGAACATTCCTGCTGTTGTGTGAATGTCTGTCCCTCACATAGGATTTCACAACGCTCCTGCTGTGTTCTGAATGTTTGACCCTCACATAGCATTCAAGACCACTGCTGCTGGGGTCTGAATGAGCCTCACATAAAATTCCAGAACACTGTTACGAGGGTCTGAATGTTTGACCCTCACATAGGACTCCAGAACACTCCTGCTGTGGTCTGAATGTTGGTCCCTCACATAGGACTCCAGAACACTCCTGCTATGGTCTGAATGTTGGTCCCTCACATAGGACTCCAGAACACTCCTGCTATGGTCTGAATGTTGGTCCCTCACATAGGATTCCAGAACACTCCTGCTATGGTCTGAATGTTGGTCCCTCACATAGGACTCCAGAACACTCCTGCTGTGGAGTGAATATTTGTCCCTCCCATAGGATCCCAGAACAATGCTCCTGGATTCTGAGTTTTATTCCCTCACAGAGGATTCCAGAACACCACTACGAGGGTATGAATGTTTTTCCCTCACAGAGGATTCCAGAAAACTGCTGCTGGGGTCTGAATGTTTGTCCCTCACATAGGAGTCCAGAACATTGTTATGAGGGTCTGAATCTTTGTCCCTGACATAGGATTCCAGAACACTCCTACTGTGGCCTGAATGTTTGTTCCTCACATAGGATTCCAGAACACCCCTGCTGTTGTCTGAATGTTTCACACTCACATAGGACTCCAAAACACTCCTGGTTTGGTTTCAAAGTTTGTCCCTCACATAGGATTTCACAACTCTCCTGCAGTGTTCTGAAAATTTGTCCCTCACATAAGATTCCAGAACACTCCTGCTGTGTTCTGAATATTTGTCCCTCACATAAGTCTCCATAACACTCCTGCTGTGGTTAGGATGTTTGTCCCTCAGATAGCATTCAAGAACACTGCTGCTGGAGTCTGAATGTTTGTCTCTAACATACAATTCCACAGCACTACTGCTCTGGTCTGAAGGTTTGTCCTTCACATATGAGTTCAGAACAGTGGTGCTGGATTCTGAGCGTTTGTCATTCACATAGGATTCCAGAACACAGCAAAGACAGTCTGAATATTTGTCCCTCACTTAGGATTCCAGAATACTGCTTCTGGGTTCTGAGAGTTTGTCCCACACATAGGATTCCAGAACACTGCTACAAGGGTCTGAATGTTTGTCCATTAAATGATATTCCAGAGAACTGCTGCTGGGGTCTCAATGTTTGTCCCTCAGACTGCATTCCAGAACACTCCTGCTGTGGTCTGAATATTTACCCCTCAAATAGGATTCCATAACACTGCTGCTGTGGTCTGACTGTCCCTCACATAGGATTCCAGAACAATTCTGTTACGATCTGAATGTTTGTCCCTCACATAGCATTCCAGAAGACTGCTGCTGTGGACTGAATGTTTTTCCCTGACGTAGGATTCCAGAACACTGCTCCTGGATTCTCAGTTTTTTTTCCCTCAAATAGGATTCCAGAACACTCCTGCTGTTTTCTGAATATTTGTTCCTCACATACGTCTCCATAACAATCCTGCTGTGGTTAGGATGTTTGTCCCTCAGATAGCATTCAGGAACACTGCTGCTGGAGTCTGAATGTTTGTCTCTAACATACAATTCCACAGCACTACTGCTCTGGTCTGAAGGTTTTTCCTTCACATATGATTTCAGAACACTGGTGCTGGATTCTGAGCGATTGTCATTCACATAAGATTCCAGAACACTGCTAAGAGGGTCTGAATATTTGTCCCTTACTTAGGATTCCAGAATACTGCTTCTGGGTTCTGAGTGTTTGTCCCACACATAGGATTCCAGAACACTGCTACAAGGGTCTGAATGTTTGACCATTAAATGATATTCCAGAGCACTGCTAATGGGGTCTCAATGTTTGTCCCTCAGACAGCATTCCAGAACACTCCTGCTGTGGTCTGAATATCTGTCCCTCACATAGGATTCCATAACACTGCTGCTGTGGTCTGACTGTTTGTCCCTCACATAGGATTCCAGAACAATTCTGCTACGATCTGAATGTTTGTCCCTCACATAGCATTCCAGAAGACTGCTGCTGCGGACTGAATGTTTTTCCCTGACAAAGGATTCCGGAACATTGCTCCCGGATTCTGAGTTTTTTTTCCCTCAAATAGGATTCCAGAACACTGCTGCGAGGGTATGAATGATTTTCCCTAAATAGGATTCCAGAACACTGCTGCTGGGGTCTGAAAGTTGGTCCCTCACATAGGATTACATAACACTCCTAGTGTGGTCTGAATGTTTGTTCCTCACATAGGATTTCAGAACACTCCTGTAGTGTTCTGCATGCTTGTCCCTCACATAGGATTCCAGAACACTTCCACAAGTGTCTGAATGTTTGTCCTTCACAAGGGATTCCAGAAGACTCCTGCTGTGATCTGAATGTTTGTCCCTCACCTAGGATTTCAGAACACTCCTGCTGTGATCTGAATGTTTGTCCCTCACATAGGACTCCAGAACACTCCTGCTGTGGTCTGAATGTTTGTCTCTGAGATAGCATTCAAGAACACTGCTGCTGGAGTCTGAGCGTTTGCCCCTCACATAATATTCCAGAACACTGCTGCTGGGTTCTGAATGTTTGTCCATCACGTAGGATTCCAGAACACTCCTACTGTGCTCTGAAAGTTTGTTCCTCACATGTGATTCCAGAACACTCCTGCTCTGGTCTGAATGTTTGTCCCTCACATAGGATTCCAGAACACTGTTACGAGGGTCTGAACGTTTCTCCCTCACATAGGATTCCAGAACAATCCTACAGTTGTCTGAATGTTTGTTCCTCACATAGGATTCCAGAACACTGCTATGAGGGTCTGAATGTTTGTCCCTCACATAGGATTCCAGAACACTGCTAGGAGGGTCTGAATGTTTGTCCCTCACATAAGATTTCACAACGCTGCTACTGGGGTCTGAATGTTTCTCCCTTACATAGGATTCCAGAAAACTGCTACGACAGTCAGAATGCTTGTCCTTCACATAGGATTGGAGCACATTCCTGCTGTGGTCTGAAGATTTGTCTCTCACATGGCATCCAAGAACACTGATCCTGGGGTCTGAATGTTTGTCCCTCACATAGGATCCCAGAACACTGCTGCTGGGGTCTGCAGGTTTGTCCCTCACATAGGATTCCAGAAAACTGCTACGAGAGTCAGAATGCTTGTCCTTCATATAGGATTCGAGCACATTCCTGCTGTGGTCTGAAGATTTGTCTCTCACATGGCATCCAAGAACACTGCTCCTGGGGTCTGAATGTTTGTCCCTCACATAGGATCCCAGAACACTGCTGCTGAGGTCTGCATGTTTGTCCCTCACATAGGATTCCATAACACTGCTGTGGGCTTCTGAGTGCTTGTCCCTCACATAGGACTCCAGGACACTCTTTTTGTTGTCTGAATGTTTGTCCCTCACATAGCATTCCAGAACACTGCTGCTGGGGTCTCAATGTTTGTCACTCAGAGAGCATTCCAGAACAATCTTGCTGTTGTCTGAATGTT
Organism: Homo sapiens; assembly: GCF_000001405.40. Classification (NCBI taxonomy): domain Eukaryota; kingdom Metazoa; phylum Chordata; class Mammalia; order Primates; family Hominidae; genus Homo; species Homo sapiens. Next base: position 114,985 of record NT_187377.1, on the reverse strand, counting down.
TGTCCCTCATGTAGGATTCCATAACACTCCTGCTGTGGTTTGAATGCTTGTCCCTCATGTAGGATTCCAGAACTCTTCTGCTATGGTCTGAATGTTTGCCCCTCAAATAACATTCCAGAACACTGGTGCTGTGGAATGAGTGTTTGTCCCTCACATAGGATTGCAGAACACTCCTGCAGTGGTCTGAATGTTTCTCCCTCACACAGGTTTCCAGAACACTCCTGCTGTGGTCTGAAAGTTTGTTCTTCACATACGATTCCAGAACACAGCTACAAGGGTCTCAATGTTTGTCCCTCAGACAGGATTACAAAACACTCCTGCTGTGGTCTGAATGTTTGTTCCTCACATAGGATTCCAAAACACGCCTGCTGTGGTCAGAATGTTTGTTCCCCATATAGGAAATCAGAACACTCCTGCAGTGTTCTGAATGTTTGTCCCTCACATAGGACTCCAGAACACTCCTGCTGTGGTCTGAAAGTTTGTCCCTCACATAGCATTCAAGAACACTACTGTTGGAGTCTGAATGTTTGTCCCTCACATAGGATTCCAGAACAATTCTGCACTGGTCTGAATGTTTGTCCCTCACACAGGATTCCAGAACACAGCTGCTGGATTCTGAGCATTTGTCCCTCAAAAAGGATTCCAGAACACCCCTACGAGGGTCTGAATATTTGTCCCTCACATAGGATTGCAGAACACTGTTGGTGGGTTCTGAGTGTTTGTCCCTTACATAGGATTCCAGAACACTGCTACAAGCGTCTGAATGTTGGTACATCACATAAGATTCCAAAACACTGCTGCTGGGGTCTGAATGTTTGTCTCTCACATAGGATTCCAGAACACTGCTGCTGAGGTCTCAATGTTTGTCCCTAAGAGAGCATTCCAGAACAATCTTGCTGTGGTCTGAATATTTGTCCCTCATGTAGGATTCCATAACACTCCTGCTGTGGTCTGAATGTTTGTCCCTCACATAGGACTCCAGAACTCTCCTGCTATAGTCTGAATGTTTGCCCCTCACATAGCATTCCAGAACACTGCTGCTGTGGACTGAATATTTGTCCCTCACAAAGGATTCCAGAGCAGTGCTCCTGGATTCTGAGTTTTTTTTCCCTCACATAGGATTCTAGAACACCCCTACGAGGATACGAATGCTTTTCCCTCACATAAGATTCCAGAACACTGCTGCTGGGGTCTGAATGTTTGTTCCTCACATAGGATTCCAGAACACTCCTGCTGTTGTCTGAATGTTTGACACTCACATAGGACTCCAGAACACTCCTGCTGTCGTTTGAATGTTTGTCCCTCACATAGGATTTCAGAATACTCCTGCAGTATTCTGCATGCTTGTCCCTCACATAAGATTCCAGAGCACTGCTACAAGGGCCTGAATATTTCTCCTTCTCAACGGATTCCAGAAGACTCCTGCTGTGGTCTGAATGTTTCTCCCTCACATAGGATTTCAGAACATTCCTGCTGTGTTCTGAATGTTTGTCCCTCACATAGGACTCAAGAACACTCCTGCTGTTGTCTGAAAGTTTGTCCCTCAGATAGCATTGAAGAACAACGCTGCTGGAGTCTGAATGTTTGCCCCTCACATAGGATTCCAGAACACTCTTGCGATAGTCTGAATGTCCCTCACGTATGATTCCAGAACACGCCTGCTGTGGTCTGAAAGTTTGTGCCTCACATAGGATTCCAGAACATTTCTGCTGTGGTCTGAATGTCCCTGACTTAGGATTCCAGAACACTGCTACGACGGTCTGAATGCTTATCTGTCTCATAACACTCCAGAACACTGCTTCGAGGGTCTGAATGTTGGTCCCTGACATAGGATTCCAGAACACTGCTACGAGGGTCTAAATGTTTGTTCCTCACATAGGATTCCAGAACACTGTGGCTGGGGTATGTATGTCCCTGATATAGAATGGCAGAACGCTGATACCAGGGTCTGAATGTTTGTCTGTCACACAGGATTCCAGAACACCGCTATGAGGGTCTGAATGTCTCTCTCTCACAAAGGATTCCAGAACACTGCTGCGAGGGTCTGAATGTTTGTCCCTCCCGTAGGACTCCAGAACACAGCTGCGAGGGTCTAAATGTCTGTCCCTCACATAGGATTGCAGAACACTGCTAGGAGGGTCAGGATGTTTCTCCCTCATGTAGCATTCCAGAACACTGCTGCCGTGGTCGGAAAGTTTTTCCCTCACATAGGATTCTAGAACACTGTTATGAGGGTTTGAATGTTTGTCCCACACCTAGGATTCCAGAACACCTCTGCTGGAGTCTCAACGTTTATCCCTCACATATGATTCCAGGATACTGCTATGAGGGTATGAATGTTTGTCCTTCACATAGGATTCCACAACACTGCTACGAGGGCATAGTATTCCAGCACACTTCTGCTGGTGTCTGAATGTTTGTACCTCACATCACATTCCAGAACACTGCTGCTGGGGTTTGAATGTCTGTCCCTCACATAGAATTCCAGAACACTGCTGGGAGGGTCTGAATGTGTGTCTCTCCTATGGGATTCCAGAACACTGCTCCGAGGGTCTAAATATCTCTCCCTCACATAAGATTCCAGCACACGGCTATGAAGTTCTGAATGTTTGTCCCTCACATAGGATTCCAGAGCCCTCCTGCTGTGGTCTGAATGTTCGTCCCTCACATAAGATTCCAAAACACTGCTACAAAAGTCTGAATCTTTGTCCCTCACATGGGACTCCAGAACACTCCTACTGGGGTCTCAATGTTTATCCCTCACATAGGATTCCTGAACACTGCTACAAGGGTCTGAACGTTTGTCCTTCACAAAGGATTCCAGAACACTCCTGTGGTCTGAATATTTGTCCCTCACATAGGATTTCAAAACACTCCTGCTGTGTTCTGAATGTTTGTCCATCACATAGGACTCCAGAACACTCCTGCTGTGGTGTGAATTTTTGTCCCTCACATAGCATTCAAGAACACTGCTACGAGGGTCTGAATGTATGTACCTCACATGGGATTCCAGGACACTCCTGCTGTGGTCTGAATGTTTGTACCTCGCATAGCATTCCAGAACACTCTTGCTATGATCTGAATGTTTGTTCATCACATAGGATTTCAGAACACTCCTAAGAGGGTCTGCATGTTTGTCCCTCAAATTGGATTCCAGAACACTCCTGCAGTGGTCTGAATATTTCTCCCTCACACAGGATTCCAGAACACTCCTGCTGTGGTCTGAGTGTTTGTTCCTCACATACGATTCCAGAAAACAGCTACAAGGGTCTCAATGTTTCTCCTTCAGACAGGATTAGAAAACACTCCTGTTGTGGTCTGAATATTTGTTCCTCACATAGGATTCCAGAACACTGTTGCTGGGTTCTGGGTGTTTGTGTCTCACATAGGATTCCAGAAGAAGCTACAAGGGTCTGAATGTTTGTCCATCACATACGATTCCAAAACACTGCTGCTGGCATCTGAATGTTTGCCTCTCACATAGGATTCCAGAACACTGCTGCTGGGTTCTGAATTTTGTTCTTCAGATAGCATTCCAGAACACTCCCGCTGTGGTGTGAATGTTTATCCCTCACATAGAATTCCATAACACTCCTGCTATGGTCTGAATGTTTGTCCCTCACATAGCTTTCCAGGACACTGCTGCTGTGGACTGAATGTTTGTCCCTCACATAGGATTCCAGAACACTGCTCTTGGATTCTGAGATTTTAACCCTCACATAGGATTCCAGAACACTGCTAAGAGGGTATGAATGATTTTCCCTCACATAGGATTCCAGAACACTGCTACGAGGGTCTGAATGTTTGTCTCTCACATAGGATTCCAGAACACTCCTGCTATGGTCTGAATGTTTGTCCCTCACATAGCTTTCCAGAACACTGCTGCTGTGGACTGAATGTTTGTCCCTCACATAGGATTCCAGAACACTGCTCCTGGATTCTGAGATTTTAACCCTCACATAGGATTCCAGAACACTGCTACGAGGGTCTGAATGTTTGTCCCTCACATAGGATTCCAGAACACTCCTGCTATGGTCTGAATGTTTGTTCCTCACATAGCTTTCCATAACACTGCTGCTGTGGACTGAATGTTTGTCCCTCACATAGGATTCCAGAACACTGCTCTTGGATTCTGAGATTTTAACCCTCACATAGGATTCCAGAACACTGCTACGAGGGTATGAATGATTTTTCCTCACATAGGATTCCAGAACACTGCTACGAGGGTCTGAATGTTTGTCCCTCACACAGGATTCCAGAACACTCCTACTGTGTTCTGAATGTTTGTTCCTCACATAGGATTCCAGAACACTCCTGCTGTTGTCGGAATATTTGACACTCACATAGGACTCCAGAACACTCCTGCTGTGGTTTGAATGTTTGTCCCTGACATAGGATTTCAGAACATTCCTGCTGTGTTCTGAATGTTTTTTCCTCACATAGAATTCCAGAACACTGCTACAAAGGTCTGTATGTTTGTCCTTCACAATGGTTTCCAGAACTCTCCTGCTGTGTTCTGAATGTTTCTCCCTCACATAGGACTCCAGAACACTCCTGCTTTGGTCTGAATGTTTGTCCCTCACATAGCATTCAAGGACACTGCTGCTGGAGTCGGAATGTTTTCCCCTCTCATGGGATTCCAGAACACTCCTGCTCTGGTGTGAATGTTTGTCCCTCCCATAGGATTGCAGAACAGTGTTGCTGGATTCTGAGCCTTTCTCCCTCACATAGGATTCCAGAACACTGCTGCTGGGTTCTGAGGGTTAGTCCCTCCCATAGGATTCCAGAACACTGCAACAAGGGTCTGAATGTTTGTCCATCACATAAAAATCCAGAACACTGCTGCTAGGATTTCAATGTTTGCCCCTCACATAGGATTCCAGAACACTGCAACAAGGGTCTTTATGTTTGTCCTACACAAGGGATTCCAGAACACTCCTGCTGTGTTCTGAATGTTTGTCCCTCACATAGGATTCCAGAATATTTCTGCTGTGGTCTGAATGTTTGTCTGTCACAGGATTCCAGAACACTGTGTCTGTTGTCTGAATGTCCCTGACATAGGATTCCAGAACACTGCCACTAGGGTCTGAATGTTTGTCTCTCACATGGAACTCCAGAACACTGCTTCGAGGGTCTGAATGTTGGTCCCTGACATAGGATTCCAGAACACTGCTACGAGGGTCTGAATGTTTGTCCCTCACATAGGATTCCAGAACACTACTGCTGTAGTCTGAATGACTGTCTGTCACATAGGATTCCAGAACACTGCGGCTGGGCTCTGAATGTCCCTGACATAGGATTCCAAAACAGTGCTACAAGGGTCTGAATGGTTGTCTGTCACAAAGCATTCCAGAACACTGCTACGAGGGCCTCAATGTTGGTCCCTCACATAGGATTCCAGAACACTGCTATGAAGGTCTGAATGTTTCTCCCTCACACAGGATTCCAGAACACTGCTACAAGGTTCTGAATGTTTGTCCCTCACTTAAGATTCTAGAAAACTGCTACGAGGGTCTAAATGTTTGTCCCTCACATAGGATTCCAGAACAGTCGTGTTGTCTTTTGAAACTTTGTCCCTCACATAGGATTCCAGAATACTGCTACGAGGGTCTGAATGTTTCTCCCTCACAGAGGATTCCAGAACACTCCTGCTCGGGTCTGAAGTTTGTCCCTCACTTAGGTTTCCAGAACACTGCTGCTGTGGTCTGTATGTTTGTCCCTCACAAAGGATTCCAGAACAGTCCTGCTGTGGTCTGATTGTTTGTTCTTCACATAGGATTCCAGAACACTGCTGCGAGGCTCTGAATGTCCTTCACATAGGAATCCAGAACACTGCTGCCGTTGTCTGAATCTTTGTCCTTCACATAGGATTCCAGAAGCCTTCTGCTGGTGTCTGAATGTTTTTCCCTCATCTAGGATTCCTGAACACTGCTGCGAGGGTCTGAATGTATGTCCCTCACATACGATTCCAGAACATTGATGCTGGAGTCTGAATGTTTGCCCTTAACATAGGATTTCAGAACACTGCTCCTGGGGTCTGTTTGTACCACACATAGGACTACACAAAACTGCTGCTGGAGTCTGAATGTTTGTCACTCCCATAGAATTTGAGACAAATGCTGCGAGGGTCCGAATGTTTGTCCCTCACATGGGATTCTAGAATACTGCTGCGAGAGTCTAAATGTCTGTCCCTCACATAAGATTCCAGCACACTGTTATGAGGTTCTGAATGTTTGTCTCTCACATGGCATTCCAGAACACTCTTGCTGTGGTCTGAATGTTTGTCCCACAGAAAACATTCCAGAACACTCCTGCTGTGGTCTGAATGTTTGTCCCTCACATAAGATTCCAGAACACTGCTGTGAAGGTCTGAATGTTTGTCCCTCACATAGGATTCCATGACACTGCTACGAGGATATGAATGTTTGTCCCTCACATAGGATTCCAGAACACTGCTAAGAGGGTCTGAATATTTGTCCCTCACATAGGATTCCAGAACACTCCTGTTCGGGTCTGAATGTTTGCTTCTCACATGGGATTCCAGAACACTGCTGCTGTGGTCTAAATGTCTGCCCCTCACATAGGATCCCACAACACTACGAGGCTCTGAATGTTTGTCCCCCACATAGGATTCCAGTACACTGCTGCCGTTGTCTGAATATTTGTCCCTCACGTACGATTCCACAAGCCTGCTGCGAGTGTCTGAATGTTTGTCTCTCACATAGCATTCCAGAACACTCCTGCTGTGATCTGAATGTTTGCCCTCACATAGGATTCCAGAACACTCCTACTGTGGTGGGAATGTTTGTCCCTCACATAGGATTCCGGAAAACTGTTATGAGGGTCTGAATGTTTGTCTCTCACATAGGATTCCAGAACACTGCCACGAGGGTCTGAATGTTTGTCCCTCACGTAGGATTCCAGAACACTCCTGCTGTGGTCTGAATGTTTGTCCCCCACACAGTATTCCAGAACACTGCTATGAGAGTCTGAATGTTTGTCCCTCACATAGGATTCCAGAAGACCCATGCTGGGGTCTGAATTTTTGTCCCTCACATAGGATTTCAGAACACTCCTGCTGTTGTCTGAATGTTTGTCCGTCACGTAGGATTCCAGAACACTGCTATGAAATTCTGAATGTTTGTCCCTCACATAGGATTCCAGAACACTGCTAAGAAGGTCTGAATGTTTGTCCCTCACTTAGGATTCCAGAAAACTACTACGAGGGTCTGAATGGTTGTCCCTCACATAGGATTCCAGAACACTGCTATGAAATTCTGAATGTTTGTCCCTCACATAGGATTCCAGAACACTGCTAAGAAGGTCTGAATGTTTGTCCCTCACTTAGGATTCCAGAAAACTACTACGAGGGTCTGAATGGTTGTCCCTCACATAGGATTCCAGAACACTCCTGCCGTGGTCTGAAAGTTTGTCCCTCACATAGGATTCCAGAACGCTGCTGCTGTGGTCTGAATGTTTCTCTGTCACATATGATTCCAGAACACTGTGGCTGGTGTCTGCATGTCCCTGACATAGGATTCCCGAACAGTGGTACGAGGGTGTAAATGGTGGTCTGTCACATAGCATTCCAGAACACTGCTAGGAGTGTCTGAATGTTGGTCCTTCACATAGGATTCCAGAACACTGCAACAAGGGTCGGAATATTTGACCCTCACATAGGATTCCAGAACACTCTTGCTGTGGTCTGAATGTTTGTCCCACAGAAAACATTCCAGAGCACTCCTGCTGTGGTCTGAATGTTTGTCCCTCATATAGGATTCCAGAACACTGTTACGAAGGTCTGAATGTTTGTCCCTCACATAGGTTTCCATAACAATGCTACGAGGATATGAATGTTTGTCCCTCACATAGGATTCCAGAACACTGCTAATACGGTCTAAATGTTTGTCCCTCACATAGGATTCCAGAACACTCCTGTTCGGATCTGAATGTTTGTCCCTCACATGGGATTCCAGAACACTGCTGCTGTGGCCTAAATGTCTGTCTCTCACATAGGATTCCACAACACTACGAGGCTCTGAATGTTTGTCCCCCACATAGGATTCCAGAACACTGCTGTCATTGTCTGAATATTTGTCCCTCATGTAGGATTCCAGAAGCCTGATGCGAGTGTCTGAATGTTTGTCCCTCACATAGCATTCCAGAACACTCCTGCTGTGATCTGAATGTTTGCCCTCACATAGGATTCCAGAACACTCCTGCTGTGGTGGGAATGTTTGTCCCTCACGTAGCATTCCAGAAAACTGTTATGAGGGTCTGAATGTTTGTCTCTCACATAGGATTCCAGAACACTGCCACGAGGGTCTGAATGTTTGTCCCTCACGTAGGATTCCAGAACACTCCTGCTGTGGTCTGAATGTTTATCCCTCACGTAGGATTCCAGAACACTGCTATGAAATTCTGAATGTTTGTCCCTCACATAGGATTCCAGAACACTGCTAAGAAGGTCTGAATGTTTGTCCCTCACTTAGGATTCCAGAAAACTACTACAAGGGTCTGAATGTTTGTCCCTCACATAGGATTCCAGAACACTCCTGCTGTGGTCTGAAAGTTTGTCCCTCACATAGGATTCCAGAACATTGCTACGAGGGTCTGAATATTTGTCTTTCACATAGGATTCCAGAACTCTGCTGCTGTGATCTGAATGTTTGTCCCTCACAAAGGATTCCAGAACATTTTTCTGTGCTCTGATTGTTTGTTCCTCACATAGGATTCCAGAACACTGCTATGAGGCTCTGAGTGTTTGTCCCTCACATAGGATTCCAGAACACTGCTACGAGGCTCTGAGTGTTTGTCCCTCACATAGAATTCCAGAACACTGCTGCCATTGTCTGAATGTTTGTCCCCCACATAGGATTCCAGAAGCCTGCTGCTGGGGTCTGAATGTTTGTCCCCCATCTAGGATTCCAGAACACTGTTGCGAGGGTCTGAATGTATGTCCCTCACATACAATTCTAGAAAATTGATGCTAGGGTCTGTGTGTTTGCCCTCAACATATGATTTCAAAACACTGCTCCTGGGTTCTGAATGTTTGTCCTTCACATAGGAATACAGAACACTGCTGCTGGAGTCTGAATGTTTGTCACTCACATAGAATTCCAGAACACTGCTGCGAGGATCTGAATGTTTGTCCCTCACATGGGATTCCAGAACACTCCAGCACAATATTACGAGGTTCTGAATGTTTGTCCCTAACATGGGGTTCCAGAACACTCCTGCTGTGCTCTGAATGCTCCCTCACATAGGATTCCAGAACACTGCTACGAGGGTCTGAATGCTTATCCCTCATATAGGATTCCAGAACAGTCCTGCTGTGATCTGAATGTTTGTCCCTCACATAGGATTCCAGAACATTCGTGCTGGGGTCTCATTGTTTCCCTTAACATAGGATTTCAGAACACTGCTCCTGGGGTCTGAATGTTTGTCCATCACATAGGATTACAGAACACTGCTGCTGGAGTTTGAATGTCTTTCCCTCACATAGAATTCCAGAACACGGCTGGGAGGGTCTGAATGTTTGTCAGTCACATAGAATTCCAAAACACTGCTACGAGGGTCTGAATATTTCTCTCTCACCTAGTATTCCAGAACACTGTTGCAAGGGTCTGAATATTGGTCTATCATATAGGATTTCAGAACACTGCTGCTGTGGTCTGAATGTATGTCCCTCACATAGGATTCCAGAACACTGCTACTAGGTTCTGAATGTTTTTCCCACACCTAGGATTCCAGAACACTTCTGCTGGTGTCTGAATGGTTGTCCCTCACATATGATTCCAGGACACTGCTACGAGGGTCTTAATGTTTGTCCTTCACGTAGGATTCCAGAACACTGCTCCCGTGGTCTGAATGTTTGTCCCTCACATGGGATACCAGAACACTGCTGCGAGGGTCTAAATGTCTCTCCCTCACATAAGATTCCAGGACACTGCTACAAGGTTCTGAATGTTTGCCCCTCACATAGGATTCCAGAGCACTCCTGTTGTGGTCTGAATATTTGTCCCTCACATGGGATTCCAGAACACTGCCACGTGGGTCTGAATGTTTGCCCTCACATAGGATTCCAGAACACTACTGCTGGGGTCTGAATGTTTGACCCTCACATAGGATTCCAGAAGACTCCTGCTGTGGTCTGAAAGTTTATTCATCACATAGGACTCCAGAACACTGCTAAGAGGGTCTGAATGTTTGTCCCTCACATAGTATTCCAGAACACTCCTGCTGTGGTCTGAATGCTTGTTCCTCAAATAGGATTCGAGAACACTCCTGCTGTGGTCTGAATGTTTTCTCCTCACATAGGATTCGAGAACATTCACGCTGGGATGTGAATGCTTGCTCTTAACATAGGATTTCAGAACACTGCTCCTGGGGTCTGAATGTTTGTCTCTCACGTAGGATTCCAGAACACTCCTGCTGCGGTCTGAATGCTTGTTCATCACATAGGATTTGAGAACACTCCTGCTGTGGTCTGAATGTTTGTTCCTCACATAGGATTCGAGAACATTCACGCTGAGATGTGAATGCTTGCTCTTAACATAGGATTTCAGAACACTGTTCCTGGGGTCCGAATGTTTGTCCCTCACATAGGATTCCAGAACACTCCTGCTGTGGTCTGAATGCTTGTTCCTCACACAGGATTTGAGAACACTCCTGCTGTGGTCTGAATGTTTGTTCCTCACATAGGATTCGAGAACATTCACGCTGGGATGTCAATGCTTGCTCTTAACATAGGATTTCAGAACACTGTTCCTGGGGTCTGAATGTTTGTCCCTCACATAGGATTCAAGAAAACTGCTGCTGTGGTCTGAAAGTGTGTACTGCACATAGGATTACAGAACCCTCCTGATGTGGTCGGAATGTTTGTCTGTCACATAGGATTCCGGAACACTGCTGCTGGGCTCTGAATGTTTGTCCCTCACATTGGATTGCAGAACACTACTGCTGTGGTCTGAACGTTTGTCCATCACTTAGGATTCCAGAATGCTCCTGCTGTGGTCTGAATGTTTGTCTGTCACATAGGATTCCAGAACATTGAGGCTGGGGTCTGAATGTCCCTGACATAGGATTCCAGAACATTGCTATGAGGGTCTGAATGGTTGTCTTTCACATAGCATTCCAGAACACTGCTACAAGTGTCTGAATGTTGGTCCCTCACACATGATTCCAGAACCCTCCTGCTGGGGTCTGAATGTTTCTCCCTCACAAAGGATTCCAGAACACTGCTATGAGGGTCTGAATATTTGTCCCTCACATACGATTCCAGAACACTCCTGCTGTGGTCTGAATGGTTGTCCCTCACATAGGATTCCAGAACACTTCTGCTGTGGTACGAATGTCTGTGTCTCACGTAGGATTCCACAACACTGCTACGAGGGTCTCAATGTTTGTCCCTCACATAAGATTCCAGAACACTGTTGCTGGGGTCTGAATACTTGTCCCTCACATACGATTACAGAACACTGTTGCTGGGGTGTGAATGTTTGTCCCTCACATAGGATTCCAGACCACTGCTGCTGGGGTCTCAATGTCTGTCCCTCAAAAAGGATTCCAGAACACTGCTACGAGGGTCTGAATGTTTGTCCCTCACTTAAGACTGCAGAACACTGCTTCGAGGGTCTAAATGTCTGTCCTTCACATAGGATTCAGGAACACTGCTACGAGGGTCTGAATGTTTTTCCTTCACATAGCATTTCAGAACTGCCATGGTCTGAATGTTTGTCCCTCACATAGTATTCCAGAACAGTGCTATGAGGGTCTAAACGTTTGCCCCTCACATAGGATTCCAGAACCCTGCTACGAGGGTCTGAAAGTTTGTCCCTCACATAGGATTCCAGAACACTGCTGCTGGGCTCTGAATGTTTGTCCCTCACATAGGTTTCTAGAACACTCCAGCTGGCTTCTGAGTGTTTGTCCCTCACATAGGATTCCTGAAGACTTCTGCTGTCATTATAGTCATTGCAAGTGTCTGAATGTTTGACCTTCACCAAACACCAAATATCCTGGCCCTTTAGTCTTGGACTTTCCAGCCTCCAGATCTGTGAGCAATAATCTCTCTTGTTTATGAATTACTCAGTCTAAAGTATTTTGTTACAGTAGCCTAAAGAGACTAAGAAAGCCTCACCTGTCCTGTCACCTCATCACCACATTACTGAAGATATACTAACAGCAGTCACTTTTAGTGGGTACTTCATGCATGAGAATAAAGGGGAAAAATTGCAAGGCATACTAAAATCCAAAAAAAGAAAAAAAATACAATTTGTGTCAACAGAGCAAGCTTCAGAAGCAGACAAAAATATGATTTTGGATTTTTTTTAAACCTCTTGACAATATGCTAAGGGCTCTAATGAATGAAGTAGACAGCAATCAAGTGTAGATGGGTAATGTAATCAGAAAGACAGACAACGTAAGAACCTTCAACATAATGTAGTGATAAAAATGTGGTAAATAACTGAAGAATACCTCTGATGGCTTATTAGTAGACTGGACTCAGCTGAGTAAAGAATCTCTGAGCTTGAGGATTTATCATCAGAAACTTCGAAAACTAAAGAAAAGAAACACTGAAAAGAACAGAAGATGATATCCAAGACTGTGGGACAACTACAAAAGGTGAAACAGAGTAATGAGAATACCAGGAGGAGAAGAAATAGAAGTCAGTTATGCAACAACGATGTCTGAGAACTTCCAGTATTAATGTCAGACACCAAACCAAAGATCCAGGAAGCTCCGAGAACACCAGGCAGCATAAATGCCAACAACCTACACTTGGACATATAATTTTCAAACTATATGAAATAAAAGATAAAGGAAAATTCTGAAAGAAAGCAGAGATGGGACAGAAAACACCTTACCTACAGAGACACAAAGATAAGAACTGCATTCAACATTGCAGAAACTGTGAAAGCAAGAAGACAGTTAAATGAAAAATTCAAAATGTTGACAGAAAAAACCCCACCAACCTAAGTTTCTGTACCCACTGAAACCACCCTTCAAAAGTGAAGGAGAATTAAGGCCTTCCTCAGAAAAATAAAAATTCAAGAAACTTGTTGCCAGGAGACCTGTCTTGCAAGAAATGTTAAATGAAATTCTTTAGAGGGAAACAAAAGATATATAACTGAAACCTGGATCAACATTTTTTCAAAAAGATCATTAAAGAAAGAATTATGGTACAATAAAAACCTATGTATTTATTCTTAATTGATCTGACCAAGAAGTTCATAGACAAAAACAAATACACACAGATAGATTATGTATGCTTATACACAAGTGAAATGAGTAACACTAATACAAGGAATGGAATGGAAGGATGGGAGGGAGGAATCAGGTGTTTTCTTTGTTAAGCAGGTAGTCACCCGTGAAGTGGGATAGTGTTATCTGAAAGTGGACTTGAATTGGTTCTAAATGTATATTGAGGAATTAGGTGTTTTGTTTGTTAAGTAGGTGGTCTTATTTGTGGGATAGTGGGATAGTGTTATTTGAAAGTGGACTTGAATTGGTTGTAAATGTTACTGAGGAGTTAGGTGTTTTGTTTGTTAAACAGGTAGTCTTATTTGTGGGATAGTGGGATAGTGTTATTTGAAAGTGGACTTGAATTGGTTGTAAATGTATATCGCAAATTCTGTGGCAAGTAGTTAAAAAAAAGTTTTAAAAAGAGAAGTATATGCTAAGAAAGACAGGGAAAATGTAGTCATCTAAAATCATCAATGAAAACTTCAAAAGGCAGAAAAAGAGTGGTAGACAAAAGAATGAAGACTGAGGAGAATGAATAGAAAACAGTAACAAATAAAGTAGATATTAATCCAATGATATCAATAATCACTTGGAATGTTAATAGTATGAACGTACCAATTCAAAGATAGAGATTGTCAGAGTCTATCAAAAGACAGACACATCTTGATTCACTGCACTTTGCTTTCTTGTGTTTTGTGATCATGTTTTTTACATATTGAAGGTTTGTGGCCACCCTGCAATAAGCAGGTCTCACTGGCACCATTGTTCCTACAGCACGTGCTCACTTCACGTCTCTGTGTCACATTTCGGTCATTCTCAGAGTATTTTAAGCTTTTTATTATTGAATCTGTTATGGTGATCTGTAATCAGTGATCTTTAATGCTACTGTTGTCATTGTTTTGGGATCCACAAATCACACCCGGATAAGACAGCAAACAATTAACAAATGCCTTTGTTCTGACTGCCCCACCAACGTGCCATTTCTCTTTCTCTCTCTTTTTCTCAGGCTTCTTTTTATTAATATTAAAATGTGGCCAATTAATAACCCTACAATAGCCTCTATATGTTCAAGTGAAAGAAGAGTTGCATGTCTGTCACTTTAAACCAAAAGGAAGAAATAATTAAGCTTAGTGAGGAAAGCATACTGTAAGCAAGACAGGCCAGTAGCTAGACCTCATGCAACAAACACTTAGCCAAGTTGTGAATGCAAAGGAAGTGTTCTGGAAAGAAATTTAAATCACTACTCCAGTGAACACATGAATGATAAAAAGCTAAACAATCTTGCTGCTGTTATGAAGAAAGTTTAATTAGTCTAGATAGAAGATAAAAAAAAAACATTCCATTAAGCCTAAGCCTCTCTTTTTACTTTTTTGCTTTGTTTGTGAGACAGATTTTCATTCTTCTTGCCCAAGCTGGAGTGCAATGGCGCGATCTTGGCTCATCGCAACCTCTGCCTCCTAAGTTCAAGCCATTCTCCTGCCTCAGCATCCCGAGTAGCTGGGATTACAGGCATGCGCCACCATGCCTGGCTATTTTTTGTATTTTTAGTAGAGATGGGGTTTCTCCACGTTGGTCAGACTGGTGTCGAACTCCCGACCTCAGGTGATCTGTCTGCCTCGGCCTCCCAAAGTGCTAGGATTACAGGTGTGACAGCCACCGCACCCAGCCTCTCTTCAATTCTATGAAGACTCAGAGAGGTGAGGCAGCTGCAGAAGAAAAGTCTGAAGCTAGAAGAGCTTGTTTCTTAAGGTTTAAGGAAAAAAGTCATCTCCATCACATAAAAGCGCAAGATAAAGCAGCAAGTACTGATGGAAAAGCTGCAGAAAGCTATCTAGAAGATAACTGATTAAGATGGCTGCAATAAACAGATTTGCAATGGAGACAAAACAGCCTTCTACTATAAGGAGATGCCATCTAGGATGTTCCCAGCTAGAGAGGAGTTGATACTGGCTTTAAGGCTTCAAAGGATGTGCTGACACTTTTGTTAAGGGCTAATGCAGTTGGTGATGTTAACTTGAAACCAATGATGATTTACTATTCTGAAAATCCAAGGGCCCTGAAGAATTATGATAAAACACAGCTCTGCCTCTACTCTACAAATGGGAACAAAGCCTGGATGACAGACTATCGGTTTACAAATACGGTTTACTGAATATCTTAAGCCCAATGTTGACACCTACTGCTCAAGAAATAAGATTCCTTTCAAAGTATTACCGCTCACTGACAATGCCCCTGGTACTCAAGGGCTTTTACAGAGATGTATAAAGAGCTGAATATTGTTTTCGTGCCTACTAACCCAACATTCATTCTGGTGCCCTTGGATCAAAGAATAATTTCAACTTTCAAGTCTTATCACTTAAAAATATATTTCATAAAGCTATAGCTTCTCTAGAAAGTGATTCCTTTGATGGATCTGGGCAAAATAATTGAAAACCTACCAGAAAGGATTCACCATTCTAGATGCCATTGAGAACATTCATGATTTAAAAAAGAAGATCAAAATAGCAACATTAGGAGAAGTTGGGGCCGGGCTTGGTGGCTCACGCCTGTAACCCTAGCACTTTGGGAGGCCAAGGCACGTGGATCACGAGGTCAGGAATTTGAAACCAGCCTGGCCAACATAGTGAAATCCTGTTTGTAATAAAAACACAAAAAAAATTAGCTGGGCCTGATCGGGGGTGACTGTAATCCCAAATACTTGGGAGGCTGAGGCAGGAGAATTGCTTGAACCCGGGAGGTGGAGGTTGCAGTGAGCTGAGATCGTATCACTGCACTCCAGCCCAGGCAAGATTTCATCTCAAAAAAAAAAAAGAGAGGGAGAGAAGTTGGGAAGATTATTCCAACCCTCACAGATGACACTGAGTGGTTCACGACTTCTGTGTAGGAAGTAACTGCAGATATGGTGGAAATAACAAGAGCACTAGAATCAGAGACAGAGCTTGAAGATGTGGCGAGACTGCAGCAGCCTCCGGAGAAAATGTGTGTGGATGAGTTGCTTCCACGGATGAGCAAAGAAAGTGGTTTCTTGAGATGAAATCTACTTGTGGTGAAGACAGTGTAAATATTGTTGAAATGACAACAGATTTAGAATAAACTTAGTTGGTACTGCAGAAGGAGGGCTTGACAGGATCGAACCCAATGATTTACAATAATACATAAACTTAGTTCGTACAGCAGTACAAAGGTTTGACAGGATTGAATCCAATTTTGAAAGTGCTACTGTGGGTAAAAAGCTATCAAACAACATCGTATGCTACCGATAATTCTTTTGTGAAAGGGAGAGTCAACTGACACAGCAAACTTCAATGTTGTCTTATTTTAAGAAATTGCCACAGCCACCGCAACGCTCAGCAACCACCACCTTACATTAAGGCAAGACCCTCCATCAGCTAGAAGACTGAAACTTGGCCAGATGCAGTGGCTCACACCTGTCATCCCAACACCTTGGGAGGCCAAGGTGTGTGGATTGCTTGAGCCCAGGACGTCAAGGCAACATGGCAAAACCCCATCTCTACAAAAAAAAAATACAAAAATTAGCTGGACATGGTGGCATGCACCTGTAGTCCCAGTTAGCCAGGAGTCTGAGGTGGGGGTTTGATTGAGCATGAGGTTGATGCTACAATTACTCCAGCCTGAGCCACAGAGTAAAACCCTGTCACACACACAAAAAAAGATTGCAGCTTTCTGAAGGCTCAGATAACTGTTAGCACTTGTTAACAATAAAGTATTTGTAAATTAAAGTATGCACACTTTGTAGTCATATGCTATTGCACACTTTATACAGCACAGTATAAACATACTTTTACATGCACTGGGAAACCAAAAGAAATTGTATAACTCAATTTATTGCAGTGGTCTGGAACCAAACCCACATATATCTCTGATGCATGGCTGTCTTGTACACTTCTTAAAAAAAAAAACTTAAGAGGGTATATTTTAGGTGAAATGGTCATCTCATTTTTTTTTTTGAGATGGAGTCTCGCTCTGTTGTCCACGCTGGAGTGCGGTGGCACGATCTCGGCTCACTGCAATCTCTGCCTCCCGGGTTCACACCATCATCCTGCCTCAGTCTCCCGAGTAGCTGGGACTACAGGTGCCCGCCATCACGCCCAGCTAATTTTCTGTATTTTTAGTAGAAACTGGGTTTCACTGTGTTAGCCAGGATGGTCTTGATCTCCTGACCTTGTGACCCACCTGCCTCGGCCTCCCAAAGTGCTGGGATTACAGGCGTGAGCCACCGCTCCCTGTCTCATTTTTTAAAAAGAGTGAGAATGAGAAATATATGGAAAGTGATGGTCAAGTTTACGGCATTATTTGTTGTGATGAGTCCTGGGGCGAATACTTATCTCTAAACTCATTAAGATGTATATATTCGGTGTCACACGCCTGTAATCCCAGCACTTTGGGAGGCTGAGGCAGGTGGATCATCTGAGGTCAGGAGTTCGAGACCAGCCTGGCCAACATGGTGAAATCCTGTCTCTACTAAAAAAATACAGAAATTAGCTGTGCGTGGGGGCGCATGCCTGCGATCCCAGCTACTCAGGAGGCTGAGGCAGGAGAATTGCTTGAACCCGGGAGGCGGAGGTTGCAGTTAGCTGAGATCTTGTCACTGCACTCCAGCCTGGGCAAAAAGAGTAAAACCTCTGTCACACACATACACACACACACACAAACACATAAGGTGTATATTAAATATGTGTAATTTTTGTATGTCAACCACACCTTAGATTTATTTTATTTTATTTTGAGACAGAGTCTTGCTCTGTCACCCAGGCTGGAGTCCAGTGGTGCCATCTCGGCTCACTGCAAGCTCTACCTCCCAGGTTCACACCATTCTCCTGACTCAACCTCCGGAGTAGCTGGAACTACAGGCACCCACCAACACGCCCAGGTAATTTTTTGTATCTTTAGTAGAGATGGCGTTTCACCATGTTAGCCCGGATGGTCTCGATTTCCTGACGTGATCTGCCTGCCTCAGCTTCCCAAAGTGCTGCGATTACAGGTGTGAGCCACTGCACCCAGGCAATTTTTATTTTTTTGAGACAGAGTCTCACTCTGTCACCCAGGCTGGAGTGCAGTGGCACTATCTTGGCTCACTGCAACCTCTGCCTCCCATGTTCAAGCAAGTCTCCTGCCTTAGTCTCCCAAGTAGCTGGGACTACAGATGCATGCTATCACGTCTGACTAATTTTTTG
The DNA here is from genome assembly GCF_000001405.40 of Homo sapiens. Lineage (NCBI taxonomy): Eukaryota > Metazoa > Chordata > Mammalia > Primates > Hominidae > Homo > Homo sapiens. The sequence continues at coordinate 96,542 of NT_187377.1, read as the reverse complement.
GTTTTTAATAGAGATGAGGTTTCACCATGTTGGCCAGGCTGGTCTCAAACTCCTGACCTCATGTGATCTGCCCACCTCAGCCTCCCAAAGTGCTGGGATTACAGGTGTAAGCCACTGAACCTGGCAATTTTTAAATATATATAATTAAAAATTAATAAATAACAGGTATTTGCAAGTTTCCATTTTGTTATATGCTTATTATTCTTTATCTTTATGTCAGGTTGCTGTGTCAATACACTTAGGAGATCACAGTTTCTAAATTGAAATACATATAAATATGTCTGAAATTTTTTTTTCTTTTTTTTTTGAGATGGACTCTCGTTCTGTCACCCAGGCTGGAGTGCAGTGGTGCAATCTCAGCTCACTGCAAACTTCGCCTCCCAGAATCAAGTGATTCTCCTGCCTCAGCCTCCAGAATATCTGGGATTACAGGCACCCGCCATGACACCCGGCTAACTTTTATATATATATTTTTTATTTTTAGTAAAGACAGGGTTTCACCATGTTGGCCAGGCTGGTCTCCAACTCCTGACCTCAGATGATCCACCCACCTCGGTCTCCCCAAGTGCTGGGATTACAGGTGTGAGCCACTGTGCCTGGCCTGGATTTTTTTTCTAAAATTTACATTTCTGAGTTAAGAATGCTCAAAATATTATAAAAACAGAAGCACAATTCATTATGTGTTTCATTAATTACCTTTATTAAAAACAACACAATTATATTACAATAGGACAAAAAAATGTTCAAGCTAATGAAAACAAAACCATGACATACCCAAACTCAGGAGAAGGCAACAAAGGCAGTGCTAAAGGGACGCTTACAGCTGCAGATGCTTAAATTAAAAAGAAGAAAGATTTGAAATACATGCTAAAGGGAAGCTTACAGCTGCAGATGCTTAAATTAAAAAGAAGAAAGATCTCAAACCCATGCTAAAGGGAAGCTTATAGCTGCAGATGCTTAAATTAAAAAGAAGATCTCAAACCCATGCTAAAGGGAAGCTTACAGCTGCAGATGCTTAAATTAAAAAGAAGAAAGATCTCAAATCAATAACCTAACATTACACCTGTAAGGGAAAAATAAAAACTAATGACAAACCAAGCAAAACGAAGAAAATAACAGATTAGAGCAGAGATAAGCAGAATAAGACCAGAAAAAAAGGAAAAAAAAAAACACACTGAGTTTGTTTTTTTAAAGATCAATAAAAATTTTAAAACTCACAGCTATATTAAGAAAAAAGAGAAATCTCAAATACTAAAATCATAAATAAAAGAAGTGACAGTACAACAGATGCCACAGAAATGAAAAAGATTACAAGACACTAATGTGAGCAACCATATGCCACAAAACTGGGCAACCTAGAATAAATTTATAAATTCCTAGAAACACAAACCACCATACTGCATCACGGAGAAATAAAAAATCCAAAGAGACCTGTAACTAGTACGAAGATTCAACCAGTAATCAAAAACCCCCCAAAAAAGAAAATTCCAGGTCCAGATAACTTCACTGGAGAATTTTACCAAACATTTCAAGAAGAATTAATGCCAATCCTCTGCAAAATATTTCAAAAATGTTTAAAAACCAGAAGGGGACATTCCAATCCATTCTATCAGGTCAACATTTATCTGGTTCCAGAGCAAGATGAACACCTTTTTTAATAAAAACACTCAAAGAATTAGTAATATATGGAAACTCCTCAGTAAATAAAGATTATACATGAAAAGCTTACAGCTAACATCATACTCAATAGTGAAAAACTAAAATCTTTTCCTCTAGGATCAGGAATAAAATAGCAACATCCCTTCCTGCCACTTCTATTCACCACAGTACTTGAATTTCTACTTAGAATAATTAGGCAAGATAAAGTAATAAAAAGCATGCAAATTGGAAAGGAAAAAGTACAAAATTTTGTTCACAGACAACAGGATGTAATGTATAAAAATCCTGAAATTCCACAAAATACTGGTAAAATAATGAAATTCAACAATGTTTCAGGATACAATAACACACACATGTCAGTTGCATTTCTATAAACAAACAATGAACAATCTGCAAATAAAATTTTAAAAAGAGAGGCCAGGTGCAGTGGCTCACACTTATAATCCCAGCACTTTGGGAGGCCAAGGCGGGTAGACCACCTGAGGTCAGGAGTTCATGACCAGCTGGGCCAACCCCATCTCTAATATAAATAGTAAAACTCTGTCTCTATTTAAAATACAAAAATTAGCTGGGCGTAGTGGCAGACACCTGTAGTCCAAGCTACTTGGGAGGCTGAGGCAGGAGAATTGCTTGAACTTGGAAGGTGGAGGTTGCAGTCAGCTGAGATTGTGCCACCGCGCTCCAGCTTAGGAAACTGAGTGAGACGCCGTCTCAAAGAAAAGAAAGAAAGGAAAGAAAGAGAGAGAAAGAAAAGAAAAGAAAGAGAAAACAAAAGAAAATAATTTTTTTAGAAAGAATGACATTTGGCCGGGTGCAGTGGTTCATGCCTGCAATCCCAGCAGTTTGGGAGGCCGAGGCGGGCAGAGCACCTGAGGTCACAAGTTCAAGACTAGCCTGGTCAACATGGAGAAACCCTGTCTCTACTAAAAATACCAAAAAATTAGCTGGGTGTGGTGGCACGCACCTGTGATCCCAGGTAATTGAGAGTCTGAAGTTGGAGAATCACTTGAATAAAGAAGGCGCAGGTTGCAGTGAGTTGAGATAGTGCCACTGCACTCCAGCCTGGGAGACAGAGCAAGACTCCATCTCAAAAAAAAAAAAAAGAATTACATTTACAACAGCATTATAAAAATTAGAAATAAGCTTAACCAAGAGGGCAAAAGATTTGAACAGAGAAAACTACAAAACACTGTTGAAAGAAATTAAACACAAATAAATGAAAAGAAAAGCTGGGTTTGCAGATTAGATGATTTAATCTTGGAATGATGTCAACACTGCTCGAAGTGACCTAGATTCAATACAATCCTTATAAAGATTCCAATGACATTTTTGATAAACAGAAAAACCTATCCTAAAATTCATATGGAATCTCCAGGGCCCATGAATAGGCAAATCAATCTTGAAACAGAACAAAATTAAAGGTCTCAAAACAATTACAAAACTGCAATAAGCAAAAAAAAATGTGGTCATGGCATAAAGACACACTTGACACACTTATGGACCAACACAACAGAGACCTTAGAAACCAACCCTGGCATATATGGTCTGATGATCTTCCACAAGGATGCCAAGACCACTCAATGGTGAAGGACAGTTTCTTCAACAAATGGTGTTGGGAAAATTGTATATCTACATGCAAAACAATGATGTTGGACCCTTACCTTACACCACGTTAAAATTAATTCAAAGTGAATTATAAACCTAAATGTAAAACTACAACTATCAAACTCCTAGGGAAAACAAATTTGGAAAATGCTTTATGATGATGAATTTGTCAATAATTTTTAGGATATGACATTAAAAGCTCAGGCAGTAAAAGCAAAAATATATCAAACTTAAAAACTTCTGTACCTCAAAGGTCACAACCAACAGGGTAAAAGGCAAACTGTAGAATAAAAGAAAATACCAGTTGAGTGTCCCTTATTTGAAATGCTTGGGATGTGTTTCAGATTTTGTAATATTTGCATTATTCTTACTGGTTTAGCATCTCGAATTCAAACACCTGAGTCTGAGATGCTCCAATAAGCATTTCCTTTGAGTGTCATGTTGGCACTCAAAAAGTTTCAGACTTTGGAGCATTTGGGATTTCAGATTTTTGGATCAGAGACATTCAATCTATAATTGCACATCATGTATCTCATAAGAAGTGAACATCCAGAATACGTAAAGTACTCCTACAGAGAGACTACCAGAAGCAGAAAGGAGCAAACACATTTTCATACTAGGGCACCTCCTATCTCTCCTGGATTCCAATTAGGGCAGAGTAAGTGCTTGTTCTCTGCCAACCCAGGATTAGGCCCTGCAGCTGCAGTGAAAATAATCACAGAAGAAAACTAAGAAATAAAAAATGGAGAAAGTGAGACATCAAACTAAAATTACTAGAAACCCCCAGGAAGAAGGAAAAAGAAACCAAGAAAACAGAAAAACAATCAAACCAGTTAATTAAACCTTGGCATGACCAGAAGATCAGAGTTTCCTAAAGGAGTGGAAATTTATTGATTTGAAGAGGTTTTATTGATTACTGATTTGAAGAGGAAGAAAAACCATGAATGGTCTGAAGCAAAAGCCTAGTGTCTGAAGAAGTCAGTAGGGTGAAAACAAGAGCTGGCCAGAATTTCCACAGATGGTGACAAGTTTGCAAAGCCTTTACTAGACTACTCATGAGGCTAACTAGAGGCCAAGGAGCCAACACTGCCCTTGTCCTTACAGACAGACCCTACACAGGATTCCCAGATATACATGGAAGGACAACATCTTATCAGATCCTCTCTGTGCAGATGTGGTTATCATTCCAAATAATGAGCTCCAGCCCCAAGACTGTTCCATCCTCAATTGCTTTGAGTGGGCAATGTAGGCTCTCCACACACGAGCTACATGTAAGTTCCTTGGGTAACCAGATGGGAGCTGTGAAACAAAAACCCTCCATGCTCAGGTCCGTATCTGTTTCCTGCCTTTTTCTCAGCAATTCCCAGGCCGCAGCAGCAGTGGTCTACCTCTGCTGATTCTCATTCAGAATCTAAACTTAGAAACAATTAGAACCTAGACCCCAATTCTACCTGAAAGTAACAGAATAACATAATCTGTACCCTGCAGCATGACTGTTTGCCCAACGTAATGAGGATGAACTGAGAGATAATGAATGATCATGACCCTGGCCCAAGTAACGAGAATGAACTGTGAGATAAATGAATGATCATAACCAAAAAACCCCGCTACAACCCAACAACAAAATAAAGTGATTAAGAAATAGACAAAGAACATTTATCCAAAGATACAAAGATGATATACAAATAGCCAACAGATACATGAGATATATGAGAAGATGTGTAACATCACTAGTCATTAGAAAAATGCAAATAGAAACCACAAAAGGACATCACTTCAAACCCAACAGAAAGTAACAAGTGCAGGTGAAACTGAAACCCTTGAACACTGTTGGTGGAAATATGAACTGGCTTCTCAAAAAAAATAAAATAAAATGACCATATGATCCAGCCATCCAACTTCTACAGAGACAGAATAACTAGTAGCAGGACCTCAAACAGATATGTGCACACCTAAGTTCACAGCAGCATTACACAGCCACAAGGTGGAAGAAACCAAAACGTCCCTCCGGGAATAGATGGATAAACAAAAGGATATATATATATATATAGAAAATATATATATATATATATATAGAAAATATATATATATATATATAGAAAATATATATATATATATAAAATATATATATATATAGAAATATATATATATATATAGAAAAAATATATATGGAAAAAATATATATATATATGAAGAAATATTATTCAGCCATAGAAAGGAAGAAAATCCTGACACATCTGACACATAATATGGAACAACAAATATTACATAACCCTAGGTATATAAGCCGAATTTTTAGAAACACAAAGTAGAATAGTACTTGCAGGAGGTGGAAGGAGGGGGAAATTAATAGTTGTTAAATGGGTATAGAGTTTTCCAAGATAAAAATCTAGAAATCTGCTACACAACACTGTAAATATTCTTAACTCTACAAAACTGTATACTTACAACTGGTTATGACGGTAAATTTTAAGGTATGTATTTGTTACCAAAATTCTAAATAATAAATTATTTATAAAAAAATGAACTTTTTTGACACAGGATCTTACTCTGTTGCCCTGGCAGGAGAGCAATGGCATGATCACAGCTCATTGCAGCCTCAACCTCTCAGGCTCAAGCAACCCTCCCACCTCAGCCTCCCGAATAATTGGGACTACAGGTGCACACCAAGATGTCAGGCTAAATTTTGGTTTGGTTTTCTTGTAGAGAGGGTTTTGCCATGTTGCCCAGGCTGGTCTCAACCTCCTGGGCTCAAGCAATCCACCTCCCTTGGCCTCCCACAGAGCTGAGATTACAAGCATAAGCCACCATGCCTAGCCTATAAAAAATTATTTCAAAAAGCCAAAAGATTAATCAAACTGGAATATTTAGAAATATTTAACCCAAAAGAAGTTAGGAAAGAACACATAGAAGATCAAAAGACAGACGAAGGCCAGGCATGGTGGCTTATGCCTGTAATCTGAACACTCTGGGAGGCCAATGTGGGTAGATTGCTTGAGCTCAGGAGTTCAAGACCAGCCCGTGCAACATGGCAAAACCCTATCTCTACAAAAAATATAAAAATTAGCCAGGTGTGGTGCCATGTACCTGTAGTCCCAGCTACTCAGGGGTCTCAAGTGAAGATTGGTTGGGCCTGGGAGGCAGAGGTTGCAGTGAGCCAAGATTGCACCATTGCACTACAGTCTGGGTGACAGAGCAAGACCCTGTCTTAAAAAAAATAAACAAATAGAAAATAAGTAGAAACATGGCAGACCTAAAACCAACCTTAGCAATGATTAGTTACAATGTAACTGGACAAATACTCTACTTAAGACAGAGACTGCCAGACCTGAGAGGAAAGCAAGACCCAATAATATGGCATCCACAGAGACACAATTTAAACACAAAGACACAAAGTATGAGAAAAAAATATGCTATGCAGACACTAATCATAAAATTATGCTATCCAGACACTAATCATAAAAAGCTTCAATGGAGATGTTAACACTAGATGAAAGAGGCTTCAGAATAAAATATATCACCAGAAATAAACAGGCTAATTTCATAAAAATAAAAGAATCAGAGAGGATGATGTTACAATTATAAATTGTGCCTCAAAGTCCACACAAAGTACACACACTCACAGAGCCTCAAAGTATGTGAATCAAAAACAACAGAACAAAAGCAGGAAATTGACAATCCAAAATTATAGCTGGTGAATTAATACTGCTCCCTCAGTAACTGACGGAACAACCAGATAAAAATATAGGAAAAATACGGATCTAAATGACAAAATCCTGACCCAAATGGTACTTGGCAGTACCAAGTTAGACTGTATGTTGATCGATTGAGGAAAGGTTCAAGCCTGAAATAGTATACAAAGTATGTTTCTCTGAACACTTGAAATTAAATTAGAAACCAACAACCAATTGATATCCAGAAAAGCCTCAAATGTCTGAAAACCAAGTAATAAACTTTGAAATATCCTGTGAGTCAAAAAAGTATTCACAAGGGGAACTGGAATGTATTTGGAACAAAGTTTTTATAAAAATCACATTTCAGGTAGACTAAAGGTGACAACTTCTTTCCTGCTCCTCTCTCTGTGAGAACCAATTCCCCTTAAACCTTGCCCAGACTACTGACTTATTTGGCCAACAGAAGGTGACAAAGGTGGTATTTGGGGACTTCAGAAGCCAGGCTGAGAAAACAGAACACTTATCCAGGAGAAAGCCAGTCACCAGGCAGGAAATCCCACTCCCCTGAGACCCCATGATGGAAACCACACGGCCAGTCCATGACTAGCTACACGCATTGACATCCCTCACTGAGCCTCCAGCAACACCGACTCCCAACCACTAGTGAGCCTCCAGCAACATCCACTCCCAACCACTAGTGAGCCACCCTGCACACCACCCCGCTGTGCTTTCACACAATCCAGCTTGGCTGCAACTGTGTGTGAGATGAGCTGGCCACCAAGACTCTCTAAGCCAAAAAACAAGTAATAATGAGTTGTTTTAAGCTGCCAAGTTTTGGGGATGGTTTCTTCAGAATAGATAACTGGAACAGAATATAGCAGCTGGAAATGAGCCACTGTAGTAATCAGAAGCTACAATATGTGCCACGACTGTGAGGCCGACCTGTAACTGGGCCTCAAGGAGACCTTTCATGCAACCTGGAAGGGCATCAAGACTCTTGGTCAGGGCCTGAAGGACTGTGAGAAAATGTCATTGGAAACTGGAGAAAAGGCCTGAGAGTTACGTGCTGAGGGACTGTGAGAAAACTACGGCCACAACATGGAAACTGAAAGGGCACTGCACCATCTCAGCGATCTGCCTAAGGAGACATCTGGGAAGAACATGGAAAGTGCTACAAGCCTCCCTTAACTGTCACTGAATAAATATGACAGGAGAGGGACATGATCTAAAGAAGGAGGTTCAGTTTTCAAACAGAATTTAGAGAAAATATAAAGAAATAATTTCTTGTCTCAAAAGGCCAAAGCAAAAAAAAAAAAAAAGAAAAGAAAAGGAAAAAAAAATGAAAAAGAAGCCATTGAATACCCTATTGACCATAAGAAAGAGGCAGAGAAATTTGGTCAACGGCAACCCAGGCAATGAAGGAAAAAGAACATGGAGAATGACAAAAGCCCAGAGGGAGGAGTAAAAGGACACAAACGCCGTTCTCAGGGACCAGGACTGGGCGCGGTTCTCAGGGACCAGGACTGGGCACTAATCACAGAACTGTAACAGGCGCCCCATGGGAATGACCAACTGTTAGACGGGGCCTGCAGGGCAGCACCTCCCTCCTACCTCCCACCAACAGCTTCTAAAGGGAAATGCCGACTGTTTTCACACCACTCCCCTCACTGTGGTTGAGTGTGTGGGTGCAGATGATAGGTCACAACAACCTGATTCAGTCCTCACTGCGGCTGAGTGTGTCAGGTGCAGATGACAGGCCACCACAACCTGATTCAGTCCTCACTGTGGCTGTGTGTGTGGGTGCAGATGACAGGCCACCACAACCTGATTCAGGATTCAGTTGGGCTACCAGCCAGTGCCATAAGGAAAACCATTCTGGGGCTCTTGAGAGGGGCAAAGAATAATTTGCATGTGGGAGAAGCGTTAATAGTTTGTGGCCAGAGGACAAGCTGTGGTTTATTAAAGACTGCTGCAGGTTCCTACTATGCTTCTCATCAAGAGGTGGAATCTAATCACCTATCCCCCTTGAATCATGGCTGGTCTCAGTGATGAGTACAACTGGACAGTGTGGCAGGAGGGATGCTCTGGGACTTTTGAGGGGCAATCATGAGAGGCCTTACAGCTTTTGCCTGGGCCTCTTGGACACACACCCTGGGAGAAGCCAGACAAACCTGACTACCTGACGCTGCCAGACTGGAAGGAAGTCCGTGCTGGCCACAAAGAGAGGGCTGGGTGCCTGCTCCATGTCCCCAGCCACTAGAGTCCTTCTGGGTGCCTGCTTCACGTCCCCAGCCATTAGAGTCCTTCCAGATGAGACCAGGGACATCATGAAGCAGCCAACCCACACCGCTCTCTCCAGTGTCTTGACCCAGAAAATTGTGACATGGAAAAAGAATAAATTCCTGGTTTAAGCCAGTAAGGTTACTGGTATGTAGTTTCATCGCAGATAATTAAAACCTTGAAAAACTCATGAGAGATCACAAGTAGAACCTTGATCTGAAACATGGCATGTGGCGATTTATATTGAGTATTAGGTTAAAAATGCAAGAATGGAGCATAGTTAATATTTTACTTTAAAGCTAAAACTATAATTGCCTACTTAAAATTTTCAGTTAACTAGTTTGTCACTTTTTGTTCTTAACCAGGAAATCAACTAGTTTTAGTCCATAAACAGTTACAACTGATGCACACATCCGTTTTTCCTTACTCATTTTAAGCAGCTATCTGAAATAGGAAGTGTAATATAATCTTTAAAGAATCTGAAAACATGACAGAAATGTTTAAACTATAAACATATATTGTATATGTTAGCATATTGTATACATTGCATATTAACATAAGCTAGAATCATTGACATAAATTTATATAAACAAAAGGTAGAAAATATGACAATGTTCTTCTTGTTTTTTGTCTTTGCATATTTCTTTACTGGCCCTTGTCAAACGTGACCCACTAACTCTGGAATGCTTTCTCTTTCCCCATGGATTCCTAAGGATGTCACCACAGTGCTGGCCAGATGCACAGGTCACAGGGGACTGAACCTCGTCACCCCACAAACACACCCTTCAGGTTTTGACAAGAATGACACAGTAAATGTAACAAAGCTGCCGTGCTTGTTAGTGAACACCAACTCAGCTCCTCTCCTGTATTCGGAAATCAGGATGAGATGAAAACAACAAGCAGGCCAGGCACGGTGGCTCATGCCTGTAATCCCAGCACTTTGGTAGGCCGAGGCGGGCAGATCACCTGAGGTAGGGAGTTCGAGACCACCCTGATCGAAACAGTAAATCCCATCTCTACTAAAAATACAAAATTAGCCGGGCGTGGTGGCAAATGCCTGTAATACCAGCTACTCAGGAGCTGAGGCAGGAGAATTGCTTGAATCTGGGAGGTGAAGCCTGCAGTGAGCTGAGATCACACCACTGAGCTCTAGCCTGGGCAACAAGAGTGAAACTTTGTCTCAAAAGAAAAAAAATTAAAAATAAAAGAACAAAGAAACAAAAGTAACAAGGCTTGACACCAGATGAGCCTGAATATAAGCAAGAAAAGCCCAGAAGAAATCCTATTTTGGGTCACTGGCTCATGGTAGTAATACCATACACAGAAGGGAAGAGAGAAGGATGTGGCTTTCACTTTGAATTTTTTGAGCTTAAGGTAAATTTTGGATAGCTACAAAGAAGCATTCAACAGAGTGTTAAACCTATGATGGAAAGAATAAGAGGTCCAAGCTGTAGAGAAACAGGACGGCAAACCACAAAGGGTTGAATCAGTCTAGGAGAACTGCAGGGCGGGATGAACAGCGACCAACGGAACATTTGGATAAACTGTTGAGAAGAAAGGAGAATTCAGAGAAAAAGAACTGTCAGTGAGGTCATAATAGGAACTATTACAGTGAACTAAATATGACCTGGGAAGGATTCTGTACTTCTAGATTTGAGTCCCTGTGGGCAAACTGCAACCTAACTTAATAGGTAGAAAAACTGAAAACCTAACTTAGGAGTATGCACCTGTAACTATAGCTCAGTCCTGGCCAATCCCAACAGCCAAACTTCTGCCACTCACACACAGCTGAGTGTTCAGCTGTGTTCAAATAAGGCAAATGCTGAGCACTGTAACCAGTCCAGTTGTTTCTGGACCTCACTGCTGAGAACTGTAACGGACCCAATTGCTTCTGGACCTCACTCCTCACTTCAGATTTCTGTACATCAGGTTCCCTTTATTGTCTATAAATCTTCCACCATGTAGCTGTGCTGGAGTCTCACTGAATCTGCTGTGATTCTGGGGCTGCCTGATTCGTGAATCATTCATTGCTCAATTAAGTTCCTTTAAATTTAATTCAGCTGAAGATTTTCTTTTAATAGATGGTGTCAGAAGTGGGATCTGTGGGAGCAGGACTGCTAGGGCCTCCAGAGCTATAGTGTGGTGAGCAGTGTTGCTAGGGCTTCTAATGACCCCCAGGAGTGCTGAGGTACAAGAAAGGCACCTGCAAGGACCGCATTGTGATGCCAGCAGTGGCCCACGTGGAGCAGTTGCTACGGAGACACTGGCTGCAGTGGGGAGGAATGGCTGGGCCTGTGCACTCCTCGAAGCTGGTGGGAGCCAGGAACAGGTGGGAGCCCCACCCTTTCTAAATTGGCAAGCAGGAGCCCCACCCTCCCAGGCACAGCTGCAGCCATCCAGCCATGACTGCAAACCCAGGCATCTTTGCACTCTCAGAGGCCCAGCAAGCCCCCCTGCCCCCGCAGGCTCAGTTGTACCTGGTCCCACCACCTGGCGTCTCTCTGCTCCCAGACCCCACTCCAACTTCGGATCCAAGTTAAGGCTGAACCCAGGCACAGTCACAACCCAGCCCGGTTGCCAGCCCCCTGCCACCTCAGCCCCTTCCAGACTTTGGGCACTGACGAGCACAGGAGGGAGGTTGAGGTGGGGCTAAGAGTGGCTCAGCACTGGCCTGAAGGCACTACTCAGCTCGAACAGCCTGGGCACTGTGGGCACAGCTACCCACTGTGCGTCTCTCTCAGCTGCTGAGAGCTGAACAGACGTTGGGATGACCTGCCTGCAGAAAGGAGCTACCCACTGCAGGTCCCCTCTGAGCTGTACTGTTGCTCAATAAAGCACCTCTTCACCTTGCTCACCTTCTACTTGTCCACATACCTCATTCTTCCTGGACTCAGGACTAGAACTTGAGACCTGCCAACTAGCAGCGCTGAAAGAGATGTAACATAAACAGGGCTGAAACGCACCCCTTGCGTGCCAAATTGCAGGCAAGAAGAAGAGAAGAGAGAAGGAGAGAAGAGCTGTGGCCTTTCAGGGATCCCAGACATAGGAGCTCCCCAAGCCAGAGCTGTGACACCTTCTTTGGGGCTCTGCAGTTCCTGCATCTCCAAGCTTCCGGGCGCCACTGCATACCCTGATACCCACAGTGGAAGCTGTTTGCAGTCGGCCTGGTCCAGCTGCTGCCTCACAGGGAGCTGGCACCTGTGCCGGTGCCTGGAGCTGCCCACTCCACTGCAGCTGGCATGCTTGGCTGTGTGCAGTGGCTAGATCCCATGCTCGCTTGCTCACACACCCTTCACTGCTCTGTACCCAGTTCACCCTTGGCATGTGTGGGATCCAGACCACTAGCATGAGCTGAGTGGACAGAACGAACCCAGTGGGCCCGAGCAAAACACAGGAAAAAGCGCCACCAGCCAGAGGTTTCAGGCAGAAAAGTGATGCCTCAGGATTCTGTAACACTTGTGCCTTTTGACCTCTCGGAGCAGCTGGGGATCATGGTAAATTCTCTCTCGGATTTCAGAGCTCCATGGATTTGTGTTTTGAGCTCTGAGTTTCTTTGAGCAAATTTCTGTTCCAAACTGCTATCCAGCCATGACTGGCTGGATGTTTTAGAAGTTATAACAGAAACGGGACTGGGTCCAGGATCAGATTTCATCCAGTAGTTAACTGGCTTGAATCCAGTTCCAGTTAGAGGCCTCCTACATCTGAATGGGTCAGAAAGAAAGTGGTAATAAATGATAATATTGGAGGGTTGTAAAATTTGGCTTTTGAAAATTCACGGGGATTTTTGTGTTCTACACCTTTGTTTCATTTTCCTCGCACGCTTAGGTAGGAAAAAAAAAATTGGCTAAGTCAATCAAGGGAACCTGGGAGTAAAGCCAATATATTAGGTAAAAATAGGATCCTTAATTTCTGGAAAACTAAGCTCCTTCTGGCTAATTCATTAGGCCTGGGAAGCAGCAAAGTCTTACAGAAATGGCAAAATCTTACTAAAGATAACTTACAGTGGAACATTCCAAATGAATAATGCCCTGGAATGCATTTAAAAATGAGGCCTCCCAAATTAGTCTCATCTAGGGATGCCTATTAATATGCAGAAGCTTCTAAAAAGATTTAGAGATGGCACGGCCTATCTGGGAGCAAGTTTGAGTCTTACCAGTTTGACACTGGGTGCTAAGCAAAGTGGTTCGTGTCTATGTTTTGTCATATGTATTTTGCTCTGAGCAGAATGAAAAATGTTAATTTGGTTACTCCAAGCAACCCCTTGGGCAGCATCTTGCAAAGCTGAGTGGATTCTTCCTGTGTCTCCATGATTTCCACTGTGATGCAGCTTGGCTCCCATAGCTATAATGTGGTGAGGAGGGTGACAGAGCAAGACGCTATCTTTAAAAAAAAAATGGCCAGAGGCAGTGGCTCATGCCTGTAATCCCAACACTTGGGGAGGCCGAGACAGGTGGATCTCCTGAGGTCAGGAATTCAGGGCCAGCCTGACCAACAAGGAAAAACCCCGTGTCTACTAAAAACACAAAATTAGCTGAGCATGGTGGGGCTTGCCTCTAATCCCAGCTACTCAGGAGGCTGGGGCAGGAGAATCACTTGAACCTGGGAGGCAGGGGGTTGCAGTGGACCGAGATCACACCATTGCACTCCAGCCTGGGCAACAAGAGGGAAAATCCACCTCAAAAAAAAATAATAGATTTGCCTATAAGGTTTTATGAAAAAGTGGGTGACATTTGGCTTTCTCTCTTTAAAGAAGATTTTCAGATAATATTAAAAAATAATGGTAGGAGGAGCCAAGATGGCCGAATAGGAACAGCTCCGGTCTACAGCTCCCAGCATGAGTGATGCAGAAAACGGGTGATTTCTGCATTTCAATTTGAGGTACTGGGTTCATCTCACTAGGGAGTGCCAGACCGTGGGTGCAGGAGAGTGGGTGAAGTGCACCATGCGCCAGCTGAAGCAGGGCGAGGCATTGCCTCACTCGGGAAGCGCAAGGGGTCAGGGAGTTAGTTCCCATTCCTGGGCAAGGAAAGGGGTAACAGATGGCACCTGGAAAATTGGGCCACTCCCACTCTAATACTGTGCTTTTCTGACGGGCTTAGGAAACGGCGCACCAGGAGATTATATCCTGCACCTGGCTTGGAGGGTCCTACGCCCACGGAGTCTCGCTGATTGCTAACACAGCAGTCTGAGACCAAACTGCAAGGTGGCAGCCAGGCTGGGGGAGGGGCACCCGCCATTACCCATGCTCTCTTAGGTAAACAAAGCAGCCAGGAGGCTCGAACTGGGTGGAGCCCGCCACAGCTCAAGGAGGCCTGCCTGCCTCTGCAGGCTCCACCTCTGGTGGCAGGGCACAGACAAACAAAAAGACAGCAGTAACCTCTGCAGACTTAAATGTCCCTGTCTGACACCTTTGAGGAGAGCAGTGTTTCTCCCAGCACACAGCTGGCGATCGGAGAATGGGCAGACTGCCTCCTCAAGTGGGTCCCTGACCCCTGAGCCCTGAGCAGCCTAACTGGGAGGCACCAACCAGTAGGGGAAGACTGACACCTCACATGGCCGGGTACTCCTCTGAGACAAAACTTCCAGAGGAATGATCAGACAGCAGCATTTGCGGATAACGAAATCCACGGTTTTGCAGACACCACTGCTGATATCCAGGCAAACAGGGTCTGGAATGGGTCTCTAGCAAACTCCAACAGACATGCAGTAGAGGGTACTGTCTGTTAGAAGGAAAACTAACAAACAGAAAGGATATCCACACCAAAAACCCATCTGTACATCACCATCATCAAAGACCAAAAGTAGATAAAACCACAAAGATGGGGAAAAAACAGAGCAGAAAAACTGGAAACTCTAAAAAGCAGAGTGTTTCTCCTCCTCCAAAGGAACGCAGTTCCTCACTAGAAATGGAACAAAGCTGGATGGAGAATGACTTTGACGAGTTGAGAGAAGAAGGCTTCAGATGATCAAACTTCTCCGAGCTACAGGAGGAAATTCAAACCAAAGGCAAAGAAGTTGAAAATTTTGAAAAAACTTTAGACGAATGTATAACTAGAATAACCAATACAGAGAAGTGCTTAAAGGAGCTGATGGAGCTGAAAGACAAGGCTCGAGAACTAAGTGAAGAATGCAGAAACCTCAGGAGCTGATGCAATCAACTGGAAGAAAGGGTGTCAGTGATGGAAGTGCAATGAATGAAATGAAGCGAGAAGGGAAGTTTAGAGAAAAAAGAATAAAAAGAAATGAAAAAAGTCTCCAAGAAATATGGGACTATCTGAAAAGACCAAATCTGCGTCCGATTGGTGTACCTGAAAATGACGGGGAGAATGGAACCAAGTTGGAAAACACTCTGCAGGATATTAACCAGGAGAACTTCCCCAATCTAGCAAGGCAGGCCAACATTTAGATTCAGGAAATACAGAGAACCACACAAAGATACTCCTCGAGAACAGCAATTCAAAGACACATAATTGTCAGATTGACCAAAGTTGAAATGAAGGAAAAAATGTTAAGGGCAGCCAGAGAGAAAGGTCGGGTTACCCACAAAGGGAAGCCCATCAGACTAACAGCTGATCTCTCGGCAGAAACTCTACAAGCCAGAAGAGAGTGGGGGCCAATATTCAACATTCTTAAAGAAAAGAATTTTCAACCCGGAATTTCATATCCAGCCAAACTAAGCTTCATAAGTGAAGGAGAAATAAAATACTTTACAGACAACAAATGCTGAGAGATTTTGTCACCACCAGGCCTGCCTTACAAGAGCTCCTGAAGGAAGCACTAAACATGAAAAGGCACAATCAGTACCAGCCACTGCAAAAACATTCCAAATTGTAAAGACCATCGAGACTAGGAAGAAACTGCATCAACTAATGAGCAAAATCACCAGCTAACATCATAATGACAGGAACATATTCACACATAACAATATTAACTTTAAATGTAAATGGACTAAATGCTCCAATTAAAAGGCACAGACTGGCAAATTGGATAAAGAGTCAAGACCCATCAGTGTGCTGTATTCAGGAAACCCATCACACGTGCAGAGACATGCACAGGCTCAACATAAAAGGATGGAGGAAAATCTACCAAACAAATGGAAAACAAAAAAAGGCAGGGGTTGCAATCCTAGTCTCTGATAAAACAGACTTTAAACCAACAAAGATCAAAAGAGACAAAGAAGGCCATTACATAATGGTAAAGGGATCAATTCAACAAGAAGAGCTAACTATCCTAAATATATATGCACCCAATACAGGAGCACACAGATTCATAAAGCAAGTCCTGAGTGACCTACAAAGAGACTTAGACTCCCACACAATAATAATGGGAGACTTTAACACCCCACTGTCAATATTAGAGAGATCAATGAGACAGAAAGTTCACAAGGATACCCAGGAATTGAACTCAGCTCTGCACCGAGCGGACCTAATAGACATCTACAGAACTCTCCACCCCAAATCAACAGAATATACATTTTTTCAGCACCACACCATACCTATTCCAAAATTGACCACATACTTGGATGTAAAGCCCTCCTCTGCAAAGGTAAAAGAACAGAAATTATAACAAACTGTCTCTCAGACCACAGTGCAATCAAACTAGAACTCGGGATTAAGAAACTCACTTAAAACTGCTCAACTACATGGAAACTGAATAACCTGCTCCTGAATGACTACTGGGTACATAACGAAATGACGGCAGAAATAAAGATGTTCTTTGAAACCAAGGAGAACAAAGACACAACATACCCGAATCTCTGGGACACATTCAAAGCAGTGTGTAGAGGGAAATTTATAGCACTAAATGCCCACAAGAGAAAGCAGGAAAGAACCAAAATTGACACCCTAACATCACAATTAAAAGAACTACAAAAGCAAGAGCAAACACATTCAAAAGCTAGCAGAAGGCAAGAAATAACTAAAATCAGAGCAGAACTGAAGGAAATAGCGACAAAAAAACCCTTCAAAAAATTAATGAATCCAGGAGCTGGTTTTTTGAAAGGATCAACAAAATTGATAGACCGCTAGAAGGACTAATAAAGAAAAAAAGAGAAGAATCAAATAGACACAATAAAAAATGACAAAGGGGATATCACCACTGATCCCTCAGAAATACAAACTACCATCAGAGAATACTACAAACACCTCTACGCAAATAAACTAGAAAATCTAGAAGAAATGGATAAATTCCTCCACACATACACTCTCCAAAGACTGAACCAGGAAGAAGTTGAATCTCTGAATAGACCAATAACAGGATCTGAAATTATGGTAATAATCAATAGCTTACCAACCAAAAAGAGTCCAGGACCAGATGGATTCACAGCCGAATTCTACCAGAGGTACAAGGAGGAACTGGTACCATTCCTTCTGAAACTATTCCAATCAACAGAAAAAGAGAGAATCCTCCCTAACTCATTTTATGAGGCCAGCATCATTCTGATACCAAAGCCGGGCAGAGACACAACTAAAAAAGAGAATTTAAGACCAATATCCTTGATGAACATCGATGCAAAAATCCTCAATAAAATACCGGCAAACCAAATCCAACAGCACATAAAAAAGCTTATCCACCATGATCAAGTGGGTTTCATCCTTGGGATGCGAGGCTGGGTCAATATACGCAAATCAATAAATGTAATCCAGCATATAAACAGAGCCAAAGACAAAAACTACGTGATTATCTCAATAGATGCAGAAAAGGCCTTTGATAAAATTCAACAACATTTCATGCTAAAAACTCTCAATAAATTAGGTATTGATGGGACATATCTCAAAATAATAAGAACTATCTATGACAAAGCCACAGCCAATATCATAGTGAATGGGCAAAAACTGGAAGCATTCCCTTTGAAAACTGGCACAAGACAGGGATGCCCTCTCTCACCAATCCTATTCAACATAGTGTTGGAAGTTCTGGCCAGGGCAATTAGGCAGGAGAAGGAAATAAAGGGTATTCAATTAGGAAAAGAGGAAGTCAAATTGTCCCTGTTTGCAGACGACATGATTGTATATCTAGAAAACCTCATTGTCTCAGCCCAAAATCTCCTTAAGCTGATAAGCAACTTCAGCAAAGTCTCAGGATACAAAATCAATGTACAAAAATCACAAGCATTCTTATACACCAATAACAGACAAACAGAGAGCCAAATCATGAGTGAACTCCCATTCACAATTGCTTCAAAGAGAATAAAATACTTAGGAATCTAATTTATGAGGGACGCAAAGGATCTCTTCAAGGAGAACTACAAAACACTGCTCAATGAAATAAAAGAGGATACAAACAAATGGAAGAACATTCCATGCTCACGGATAGGAAGAATCAATATCGTGAAAATGGCTATACTGCCCAAGGTAATTTATAGATTCAATGCCATCCCCATCAAGCTACCAATGACTTTCTTCACAGAATTGGAAAAAACTACTTTAAAGTTCATATAGAACCAAAAAAGAGCCCGCATCACCAAATCAATCCTAAGCCAAAAGAACAAAGCTGGAGGCATCATGCTACCTGACTTCAAACTATACGACAAGGCTACAGTAATAAAAACAGCATGGTACTGGTACAAAAACAGAGATATAGATCAATGGAGTAGAACAGAGCCCTCAGAAATAACACCGCATATCTACAACTATCTGATCTTTGACAAACCTGAGAAAAACAAGCAATGGGGAAAGGATTCCCTATTTAATAAATGGTGTTGGGAAAACTGGCTAACCATATGTAGAAAGATGAAACTGGATCCCTTCCTTACACCTTATACAAAAATTAATTCAAGATGCATTAAAGACTTAAATGTTAGACCTAAAACCATAAAAACCCTAGAAGAAAAACTAGGCATTACCATTCAGGAAATAGGCATGGGAAGGACTTCATGTCTAAAACACCAGAAGCAATGGCCACAAAATCCAAAATTGACAAATGGGATCTAATTAAACTAAAGAGCTTCTGCACAGCAAAAGAAACTGCCATCAGAGCGAACAGGCAACCTACAAAATGGGAGAAAATTTTTGCAACCTACTCATCTGACAAAGGGCTAATATCCAGAATCTGCAATGAACTTAAACAAATTTACAAGAAAAAAACAAACAACCCCATTAAAAAGTGGGCGAAGGCTATGAACAGACACTTCTAAAAAGAAGACATTTATGCAGCCAAAAGACCCATGAAAAAATGCTCATCATCACTGGCCATCAGAGAAATGCAAATCAAAACCACAATGAGACACCATCTCACATCAGTTAGAATGGCAATCATTAAAAAGTCAGGAAACAACAGGTACTGGAGAGGATGTGGAGAAATAGGAACACTTTTACACTGTTGGTGGGACTGTAAACTAGTTCAACCATTGTGGAAGTCAGTGTGGCGATTCCTCAAGGATCTGGAACTAGAAATAACATCTGATCCAGCCATCCAATTACTAGGTATATACCCAAAGGACTATAAATCATGCTTCTATAAAGACACATGCACACGTATGTTTATTGTGGCACTATTCACAATAGCAAAGACTTGGAACCAACCCAAATGTCCAACAATGATAGACTGGATTAAGAAATTGTGGCACATATACACCATGGAATACTATGCAGCCATAAAAAATGATGAGTTCATGTCCTTTGTAGGGACATGGATGAAACTGAAAATCATCATTCTCAGTAAACTATTGCAAGGAGAAAAAACCAAACACTGCATGTTCTCACTCATAGATGGGAATTGAACAATGAGAACACATGGACACAGGAAGGGGAACATCACACTCTGGGGACTGTTGTGGGGTGGGGGGAGGGGAGAGGGATAGCATTAGAAGATATAACTAATGCTAAATGACGACTTAATGGGTGCAGCACACCAGAATGTCACATGTATACATATGTAACTAACTGGCACATTGGGCACATATACCCTAAAACTTAAAGTGTAATAATAATAATAAAATAAAATAAAATAAAATAAAATAAAAGAAATGAAAAATTTGTTTGCCTTGTAAACAAACTACCAAAAAGAAAAAAAAGGAAAAACAAGAGGCAGATCGTTTGTGAAGATAAGTCTTTCCTCTATCAATGAGTAAAGATTTTTGCCCTTTAAAAATGTTTAAAGTTGGCCGGGCGCGGTGGCTCACGCCTGTAATCCCAGCACTTTGGGAGGCCGAGGCGGGTGGATCACGAGGTCAGGAGATCGAGACCATCCTGGCTAACATGGTGAAACCCCATCTCTACTAAAAATACAAAAAATTAGCCGGGCGTGGTAGCGGGCGCCTGTAGTCCCAGCTACTCGGGAGGCTGAGGCAGGAGAATGGCGTGAACCCGGGAGGCGGAGCTTGCAGTGAGCCGAGATCACGCCACTGCACTCCAGCCTGGGCGACAGAACGAGACTCCGTCTCAAAAAAAAAAAAAAAAAAAAAAAAGTTTAAAGTCGTGATTTAGGTAAATGAATGACTTATGGTGACCTGGAAGTCTATTTCATAACATCAAGTGTTTAAACCTTTAATATATTTAATAGGCTTCCCAAAATCAAATTTCAACTTCAAAATTGTCTTTTCTGACCTCTAACTTTGGGATAAAACAGAGGCCCCTGAAGCACCCAAAAGAGAGGTAAACAGGACTATTTAACATGTTAAGTCACGTGGGTAGCACTGTCAAAATAAAAAATAATGTTGAACCTTCTTCAGGTGCATGTCATCAATCCATTCTAAAATTGTATAGGATTTCTAAAATTCTTGTGTGTTTTTTTTTTTTTTTTTTTTTTTTTTCTGAGATGGAGTCTTGCTCTGTCACCCAGGCTGGAGTACAGTGGTGCAATCTCAGCTCACTGTAACCTCCACCTCCCGGGTTCATGCCATTCTCCTGCCTCAGCCTCCCGAGTAGCTGGGCTGGGACTACAGGCACCCACCACCATGCCAGGCTAATTTTTGTTTTTTTAGTAAAGACGGGGTTTCACTGTGTTAGCCAGGATGGTCTCAATCTCCTGACCTCATGATCCTTCCACCTCGGCCTCCCAAAGTGCTGGGATTACAGGCGTGAGCCACTGCACCTGGCCAGGATTTCTAAAATTCTAATATGTCTATATGCTATCTATCATAATTACATGTTTTGTTTGTTTTGAGACAGAGTTTCACTCTTGTCACCTAGGCTGGAGTGCAATGGTGTGATCTAGGCTCACTGAAGCCTCCACCTCCTGGGTTCAAGCGATTCTCCTGCCTCAGCCTCCCAAGTAGCTGGGATTACAGACATCTGCCACCACACCCGGCTAATTTTTTTATTTTTAGTAGAGACAGGGTTTTACCATGTTTGCCAGGCTGGTCGCAAACTCCTGACCTCAGGTGATCCACCTAACTTGGCCTCCCAAAGAGCTGGGATTACAGGCATGAGCCACCACATCCACCCTAATTATGGTTATTAAGTTATTGTAGACCACAGAAATAACCAAATTTCCTTGTCAATTGTCTTTAACTATAACTATTTAAAGTCATTTCCACAGTTAATTGCTTAATGGTGATGCAGTTTCTAAAAACTTCACAAGCATGCAAAATTGTAGAATATGGTGTCTCTTAGAAGATCCATGAAAGAATGAAAAGGACCCTGAGAAACACTCGTGAACACAGATTTCTAATAACTTTAATATCATGGGTAAAAATTCCCCATAAGTTCCCCGATCCCCCAAGAATTAGACTGGTTAAGAATTCTCAAAAGTGAGGCTGGGTGCAGCGGCTCATGTCGGCAATCCCAGCACTTTGGGAGGCCAAGGCCGGTGGATCACTTGAGGTCAGGAGTTTGAGACCAGCCTGGCCAATGGTGAAACCCCGCCTCTACTAAAAATACAAAAATTAGCCGGGTGTGGTGGTATGTGACTGTAATCCCAGCTACTCGGGAGGCTGAGGCAGGAGAATTGCTTGAACCCAGGAGGCGGAGGTTGCAGTGAGCCAAGATTGTGCCACTGCACTCCAACCTAGGTAACAGAGTGAGACTCTGTCTCAAAAAAAAAATCCCAAAAGTTTAAAAAAAAGACCAACTGGTTTATAAAACTGCCAACCCAAGTAAAACAAAAATTGTATACCAAGGAAATATTTTGCCACATTTGCATGCTAAATCACCAATATTGAAATTGTTTAGATATATAATTTAAATAAACTCCAAGGTCTAAGTCAAATTACCTATAACTACTCATCAGTTACCAGTGCCACGCACCTAATTTGGAGAAACAGCTGGTATTCAAGAGGATGTAAGTCTAATGTTAATTAAGCACGGACTTATGAAGAACCGGGATGGCCACCTTGTCCTTCTTAAGTCCTTAAAACTTTTGTTACTAAAAGTTCTGCATTCCATAATTCATCATGGAAAGAGAAAATGATCCAAATTAAATATATTGGTGTGGTGATTTCTAAATTGCTAAAATAGTTTATAACCAATGTTTGGTTCATCAAACCTATATTTCTAGGAAAATAATCAAAACTTCAAGTATATTTGGTTACCTGATGGGCCATTTAAACATTTTATAAAGAGATTTCATTCAGTTGTCATTTTCAGTGCATGTTTTCTGATTGTATAAAAGCTCTTCCATGCAAGAGAGTTGATGTTAAAACAGTAGATTATTACGCTGAAGTGTAATTTCACCAGCTAAAGAAAGCCTTTTATGGTTCACTGAGGACAGTCAACCCCTTCACAATCTAGAATCTGATGACTGGATCTTCTGAGAACATCAGAGAAGGACTGCCCTTGCCATCCACATGACAGCAAAACTTTAAAACCTTAAACTTTGGGTTCATAGTCTCACAACTCAGAAGGGTCCCTCCACAATCAGAACCATATACCCATTAGAACCCTTAAGGTAAAGCTAACAAGGACAGTTCCCCCCAGAAGAAGATAGCATCCTTAATGTGAACAGCTTTTCCCAAGATCACAGATCAAGACTTCTCTGCTCTCATGAGACTCTTATCTTAATTATCTGTGCAGCTGCTAACACTTATAGCATATGGAGAAAACATCGGGTATTATAAAGATTTGGTTGTGGGGAATTAACAAAAAAACCCACTTAGTTAAGCAAGTAAACTCTTTATCTAATTCATTCTTTAATCTATTTGATTTTAGGTGGTTTGATTTATGGGGACCCTGAGTAAGGAGCATATACAAAATTATTGGTGTTATCCCAATAGTCATAAGAGTCTCCCTGGTGCACTGTACTTACTCAAATATTTTAAGAGTTTACATGCAGCCATCTCTAAAATGTCAAATGGTATCTCTTCAACTGGAATGACAAGAGATTAAAAAAAATGTGCAACCATAAGGACACTGTAACCTATGAGTGACATGCTAAACCGGAAACCCAAAACAATGGGAGTGACATGCTAAACCAGAAACCCAAAACAATGGGAGTGATGTAGTAAAACTGGAACCCAAAACAATGGGAGTGACGTGCACTAAAACCAGAACCCAAAACAATAGGAGTGACGTGCTAAACCAGAAACCCAAAACAATGGGAGTGTCTTGCTAAAACCGGAACCCAAAACAATGGGAGTGATGTGCTAAAATCAGAACCCAAAACAATGGGAGTGCCCTGCTAAACCAGAAACCCAAAACAATGGGAGTGACGTGCTAAAACCGGAAATGAAAACAATGGGAGTGATGTGCTTAAACCAGAACCTAAAACAATGGGTGTGACGTGCTAAAACAGGAAATGAAAACAATGGAAGTGATGTGTTTAAACTGGAACCCAAAACAATGGGAGTGACGTGCTAAAACAAAAACCCAAAACAATGGGAGTGACGTGCTAAACCTGGAAACCCAAAACAATGGGAGTGACATGCTAAAACCAGAACCCAAAAGAATGGGAGTGACATGCTAAAACCAGAACCCAAAACAATGGTAACTAAGAGTGATGCTAAGGCCCTACATTTTGGTCACACTCTCAGCTAAGTGAGAACTTGACTGAAAAGGAGGATTTTTTTTTTCTAAGACAGAGTCTTGCTCTGTCCCCCAGAGTGGAGTGCAGTGGCACGATCTTGGCTCACTGCAAGCTCTGCCTCCTGGGTTAAGGCCATTATCCTGCCTCAGCCTCCTGAGTAGCTGGGACTACAGGCAACCGCCACGATGCTTGGCAAATTTTTTGTATTTTTAGTAGAGACGGGGTTTCACCGTATTAGCAAGGATGGTCTCAATCTCCTGACCTTGTGATCTGCCCACCTCAGCCTCCCAAAGTGCTGGGATTACAGGTGTGAGCCACTGTGCCCAGCCAAAAGGAGGAATTTTTTAAGCAAAATTATGGGAGGCCATGGTTTTGAACTAAGCTCATGCAATAGGTCCCAACAGACCAAACCAAACCAAAATGGAGTCACTCATGCTAAATGTAACATAATCAAACTAAGAGTTTAAGGAAACACATAAATCCTAGAACAAACCAGGTTTTGTTTTTCTCCTGTAAACAGGACGTTCCAGCATAAGAAGATACCTTCTACTCAAGTCCTTGTTCCACCTTTTCAAATCTCACTGGTCTATTTCCCAGTGGGTTTCTAAACCAAGTAAGTACATTTGCAATGGTAACAGTGACACCAGTGACTGAAGTTTTGGGCAATCTCTCAAAATTGAGAAAATAACCAAAGGGAAGGCATTGTTAAAGTGAACTAAGTATGGCCTGAGAAGGGCTCCATAATTCTATATATGAGTCCTTGTGGATGAACTGCAACCTACCTTAATAGGTAGATAAGAATGAAAAACTAACTTGAGAGTATGCATCTGGAACAACAGCTACATCTTGGCCAATCCCAATGGCCAAACTTCAACCACTCAGGCGCTGCCAAATGTTCAAACTGTGTTCAAACAAGGCAAACGCTGAGTTGTTTCTGTACCTCACTTCCGATTTTGGTATGCCTCTTCCCTTTTGTCTATAAATCTTCTTCCACCACATGACTGCGCTGGAGTCTCTGTGAATCTGCTGTGATTCTGGGGACTGTCCGATTCGTGAATTGTTTATTGCTCAATTAAACTCTTTTAAAGTTTTGCTTTTAACAGAACTAACACAGAAGAATTTCCAGATCATGAACAGATGTTTTGTAATACCCAACCTTGTATTAACATGAATAGACTCTTCCTTAGATAGCTAACTTTGTTTTTAATATGAATAGACTCTCCCTTAGCTGAGAAAACCAGACAAACTCCATTTGACTGCTTCATTTACAAGACATCAAGGGCTCCTTACCCTCCCCCTTTCCTCAAGGACTTTAACTTGTGCAAGCTGATTTTCAACATATCAAAGAGTGCAATTAACTGACAAAGTGCTGAGGCAAGCGATGTCCCCAGTTCCCAGCAATTTATTCAGAGATAGTATCATAAAGCCCCCACATTTTTCCGGCAGATAATGCCCAGAGCCCCCTGACCTATCACTTTGTGGTGAATTTAAAGCCCCTGCACCTGGAACAGTTTGTTTTCCTGTAACCATCTGTCTTTTTAACTTTTTTGTCTGTTTTTTTCTTCTGTAAAGTTGCTGCAGCTAGAATTGCCCCTCCCCTCTCTAAACCAAAGTATAAAAGAAAATCTATTCCCTTCTTTGGGGCTGAGAGAATTTCGTGCGTTAGCAGTCTCTCAGTCGCTGGCTAATAAAGGACTCCTGAATTCGTCTCAAAGTGTGGCGTTTCTCTCTAACTCACTCGAGTACGACAGTTTCAACTATGGTAGAAGACTCGAACAAGGCAAATACAGTCCCCTAAATTTGACTATTATTTAGGTTAATGGTGAGTTTAGAAGAAATAAGACTACACCGAGTGGGCTAAAGTGCAAATAAACACTGGAAATATTTCCCAGAAAATATGACTTTGAACAGGCTGCTTCACACCCTGCATGTAGAG
The DNA here is from genome assembly GCF_000001405.40 of Homo sapiens. Classification (NCBI taxonomy): domain Eukaryota; kingdom Metazoa; phylum Chordata; class Mammalia; order Primates; family Hominidae; genus Homo; species Homo sapiens. The sequence continues at coordinate 70,487 of NT_187377.1, read as the reverse complement.
ATAAACTAAGAAAAAGGTGTGGAGAGTTATTTAAGGACCTATGGTTAACTCAATCCTCAAGATGTTCCAGGTTTCATCCATGAATCAAGGAGGACCCCCCAAAAGCTGTTTGGGACCACACTCTTTGAGCAAGGAGCATACTTTACGATGGAAGCTGTGCTTTAGCGGCAGATGACCATTTCCACTACACAACACTACAAGTGTTTACTGCCAGCCTGGTGTGAAATATGTTCCAGCACATAATCTATGTCACCAATGAAGGTGGTGGTTCAGACTTAGTGCACATAAGCTTTCCTGTCCCACAAGAACACAGCATGCTCTCTTCTCGGGTTCCATTCCAATCACATAACAAACATGACTGCCTTTTTTGTCTCGGCATCAGAAAGTTCAGAGGAAAATTTGCACTCAACTTAGACAACTCTAAGCTCTTATAACCTGCCTGTATCTACAGGTCAGCTTTAACTTATTTATGTATATTTTCTTCAAGCTGAATTTTACTTATTTCTACTTTTCCTTTTTAATTCACAGACACCCATAAACTCAGAAAATACAGTGTAAAACAAAGTGAAGAACAAATAAACAACTCACCAGAGATTTATTCGTTTCTTATTGCTCTTGGAAACACCCACAGGACACTGGAAACATAGCTGGGAGAGAAGACAAATGACGTGGATTAAGGAGAGAACTGGTGTGGTGTGGTCCAATATTCTTCTGCCCAACACTCTAGACACATTACCTGGGAAAGCCCTCCTCCCTCCTGAAAAAGAAAAACTTCCCCATGGGAGAAGAGTCCTTCACGCCCCATTAGGGGCAAGAAAGACTCAAGTTAAGATGAGATACATCTACAAGTACATTAACTGGTAGACATTAGATGCACAATTTATTTTTGAATAAAACTATGTATTACCTACTAATTTAGCAACAATATTACCTAAATATATAATCTAATAATTTAATACAAAGAAACATTATAAGTTCACTAAAATAAATGTTATAGCAATATACTGGGCTGTATTAACTATTTTCCTATTAATATGTGGATTCCACAAATAACTTCATATGAGTGTTCCCATGACAGTACATCTTGCTTTTCTATACCTGAACATCATGGAAAGTGCATCTTGCAAACCAGCAATTTTGGCCTACAATTATGTTTTTTAAAATGTACATAATATGTACTTCCTGCAGTACACCATTCTACTCATGTTTCCCAATAACACCTTTCCTTCTATCCAAGCCCTCATATTATGCTCTGACAATAAATTGGGCTTTTCCATCTGACTTGTCCAGTGAATGGACAATGGAAAATGTGATGCAAATATCCATTGGTTCTTGCCATTTTGGACACAGTCATACTGTGAAGAGGTCTGGAGCTACCCTGTTGGAGACACAGGGCCTAGCCAAGAGTCACCACAAACCACCAGATTGTGAAGGAAACTATCTTAAACCAACCAGGCTCAGTCAAGGCACCAGGTGACTAAGGGCTCTTCTGTGATCCAGGCAACACAAATATATCAACTACCCAGCTGAACCCACCACACCAAAATGCAGATCCACAGAACTTCAAACAAATAAAATGGAGGTTGTTTTTTAATAAGCCAGTAAGGTTTAATTAGTTCTTTAAACAGCAAGTATTAACTGTTACACCTAAGTGAACAGAATTCACTTCTGTGTTTTTAACAAAATTACGTAGGGGGAGAAAATCTTAAATTAAAAATCAAATACAATCAATAGAACTTCACAATCTAATGCTAAATCTGGTGATGGACTAGGTTTAATATATCTCAGACGCTGGAAACAACGAGCTAAGTTTGAAGGAATGGGACTGCGTTTGGAGAGTATTTTAATCTTCTCAGGTATGACAGGTCACTCCTGTACCACAGACCACACTTTCAGGCCCCTTCAAATAAGGAATATTTCCTAGGTCCTTGCCTGTTCTTCTCAGCTGAATTCACCTCAACTTTCTGAAAGTTCGTCCAAACCTTCTACCATCACCTAGTCTTTGCAATTCTTGTGCATTATAGGGAGTAGAATTAATATTTCCTGAGAGAGGAAAACTGGGATCTTCACCTGTGACCTTTTTTCCTCCTCTGAAACACCAGTGAGAGGTTAGACCAGATGGCTGTTCTTTCAAGTGCACTTCTTATTCATAGGGAACCCTCCATTTCAAGCTTTGTAACACACAGTTAAGACTGAAGTACCCTTAAGGCTGAAGACCATCATCCATTACCCCATCTCCCTCGTGGAATCAGTGAGTTCTTCCCTGGAAACTAGGTCTCGTATAAACTTCTGTAAATGCAACCCAGGAGGACTAGGCAGGTCACACAGTGAAGGAGGGAACAAGAAATTTCACTTGCTAAAGAGACACCAGGAAACCCAACTAATACAAACGCCAATTTTAAGACTAGAGGTGCACGCATTTCACACTACTACTCTGGAAATGGGGAAAGTCTCCCGAGAACTGTGTGTTAGCACTGGGACAGATGGGCAAACTGAGTGACATGCGAGTTGGTAACCAGGTCCCTCAGCAGCAAGACAGGAGCGTGGCCTGCAGACTCCGGGCCCAGGGCCACCGGCCTTGACTACGTGCTCCTGGGCCTCTGAAACCCGCTTCACTGCCGGGACCCCAAGCGTGTCCTCCCAGCACCTGCCACTGTCTGCGGCCCGCACCGGCACGTCAGGCCTCGCTCGCCTGCGATGCGCCCACGCGTCTGCTCCCACAACTGGGGAACACTGGTCCGGCCCCCCGGGATCCCCCGAGGCCCACGGGTTCCTCTTCGGCCTCACACAGACCCATAGGGACATAGAACCAAGCCGCATGCCTGCCCAGCCTCAGGACCGCCTCTGGGTTGAGCACTTCCGGAGGAAAATGGTGGAGTGGGCGGGGCAGCGCATGAGCAGAGAGAAAAACTGGTTCCCAAGGTCCTTCATGGTAACATCATTGGAAGGTGACACTACATTTCCCATGAGGCTCTGCGTTCCCCTGTTACGAACGCATGCCGGACATTCTGCTTTGCCCAGCTGTGAGTCCAGTTACCCAGAGACCCGGACTTAATGGATCAGGACTGGTCCCTACCCAGGTGACACATTTGTGGCATTCTGGTTCTTTATTAAATCCTGGTTTCACAGCCTGAGACATTGTGAAAATAATGGAGAAATTTCAATAGATGCCAATTGGTCTATGCTATTAATGAGTAACTTTTTTTTTTTTTTGAGACAGAGTCTCGCTCTGTCACCCAGGCTGGAGTGCAATGGTGCGATCTCGGCTCACTGCAACCTCCGCTTCCCGGGTTCAAGCAATTCTCCTCCCTCAGCCTCCTGAGTAGCTGGGATTACAGGTGGGCACCACCACACTCGCCTAATGTTTGTATTTTTAGTAGAGACGGGTTTCACCACGTTGGTCAGGCTGGTCTCGAACTCCTGACCTCGTGATCTGCCCTCCTCAGCCTCCCAAAGTGCTGGGATTACAGGCGTGAGCCACCACGCCCAGCCCTCAAGTCTATTTTTTATAGATGCATTCGAAAGCATGAAAAAAATCATGTCTCTATTTTACTTTAAATTTTAAAAACACAACTAATTAATACAGTAATTCTCTTCCAATCTGTTTTCTTTTTTCTCACTAAACTAATTTGTGAGCCTTCAATTTACACAGTTAGGAAAAATGCTCTGGTGTGTATAGTAGGATAAAATAACAAGGTCATAAGACAGGTGCACTCCATAATCTTTGTGACAACTTACACTTCCAGTGTCTGATAAATATTTGCCCATAAACTCCCACGTTTCATCCATCCAACAAACAATCAAATCTACCTATCTTTATTTATTTATTGTGAGAAAGACTAGAACTTTGCCTTTCCTTCCCTGATGTCTGCCACAAACTAGGCAAGGAGTTCTGCCTAGGGGTTTCTCAGAGCTCCGGCTATCACCGAGGTTCCTAACAGGGAAATTGCTGGCTTGGATGCTCCAGGTTGATGTAGGAGTGCATGTGAAACGGGGGTGGGGTGAAAGGGCAGTGAAGTTTGTAGGTGGGTAGATGGGGGTGTGAAGGGGTTTCAGGTAAGAGGCACTCAGGAAACTGGGAGAGGCAGCGAAAGCACCTCACGCCTTAGATCACCAGAAGATGCTCCCACCAGCGCCATGACAGTTTGCCAATGCCATGGCAGCACGGGAAGTCCCCACCCCTTGCCATGGAAACAGCTGGAAGTTACTGTTCATTTCTAGCTGTTTCTGAGTAACCCGCCCCTTAATTAGCATGCCATTAAAAGTGAATTATAGAAATGACTACAAGCCACCCCTAGGCTGCTACTCTGGGAGCACAACCCACGGAGGGCTCCCTGCCCTGCCGGAGGGGACGCAGGGCTGTAACACCGCCAATGCCTCCATAGAGCTGCTTTCTTCCACCACAGGCTTGCTTTTGGATTTCATCCTGAGCAACGCCAAGAACCTGCACTTCCTCAGTGTGACTCTTGCCTAAAACCTATCCCTGGTTTTCTCTTTTCCTAAGCATGCTCTGACTTGTTCTTTCATCTCCTCTGATCTTGCAATTGGTCCTCAGTGACTCTATTCTGCAGATCCAGAAAACTCAACCTTAATCTTCCCAGAGCCCTGTTGTCTCCAATATTGGAATCTTTAGCCTTGTCTCAGACGCCTAGATTTACCGGCCTCTCTCTTGAACACCTATTGGTAAGGTATCTGGGGATCCTTTAAATACAAGATGATTGGCAGGGTTTACATAGGGGAAATCAGTGTCTGACAATTCGCCTTCCAGGATATGGATTGTCATTCCCTCTCTTTGTGGGCCGCAGTCTCTTATACATAAAAGTAGAGATTGTAATACTCATTTGGCTTGCAGATACCTCACCCCGAACCCACCTAATATAATGTAAAAGTCAAGAATGCAACACCTTTCCTCACCCCGTGAAGGTAAAGTCCTCAGAGCCAAGGAGAGAAGGCTCAAGGATGGTACCTGGGTGTTTCCAACACTAACCATGTATTGTAGTTTTTAGTGTTCAAGTTTAAGCTTCTTATGTTAAATTTACCCCAGTTTTAATTCTATTGTAACAAGATTTATGTTTGAAATTCCATTTTTGGATTCAAGATTTCTTGGTAAAGAAATACAGTTATTTTTCTATACCAATCTTATATAGTATTACATTCCTAAATTTGTTCATGAGTCCTAATACTTTTTAGTAAATTTCTTATGATTTTCTAAATGCAAGATCACGTCATCCGTACATAAAGATAACTGTACTTCTTCCTTTCCAATCTAGATGCCGTGTATTTATTTACATTGCCAAGTTTTCCCAGCTACCACTGTTATCAAGTAAAAGGGGCTCACTGCCAAAAGCACTAGAAGCCGGTACCATGGCATTGAGTTTTTGAGAAAAGAAAAACTTTAAAGTCAAAACAAAACCTATAGGATACAGGCCGGGTGCAGTGGCTCATGCCTGTAATCCCAGCACTTTGGGAGGCTGAGACGGGCAGATCACGAGGTCAGGAGATCGAGACCATCCTGGCTAACACGGTGAAACTCCGTCTCTACTAAAAATACAAAAAACAAAAATTAGCCGGACATGGTCGTGGGCACCTGTAGTCCCAGCTACTCGGGAGGCTGAGGCGGGAGAATGGCGTGAACCTAGAAGGCAGAGCTTGTAGTGAGCCAAGATTGCACCACTGCACTCCAGCCTGGGCAACAGAGCGAGACTCTCTCTTAAAAAAAAAATACAAAAAACAAAAAACAAAAAACAAACCTATGGGATACAGTAAAAACAGTACTAAGAAGTAAGTTTATAGCAAAAAGCACCTCCATCAAAAAAAGTAGAAAAACTTCAGATAAACAACCTAATAATGCATCTTAAATAATTAGAAAAGCAAGAGCAAACCAAAACCAAAATTAGCAGAAGGAAACATAGTAAGGATCAGAGCAGAAATAAATTAAATTGAAATTTAAAAATATAAAATGTCAATGAAATGAAAAGTTAATTTTTTTTAAAGACCAACAAAATCAACAAACATTTAGCCAGACTAAGAAAAAAGAGAGAAGACTCAAATACATAAAACCAGAGATTAAAAAGGAGACACTCCAACTGATACTGCGGAAATTCAAAGAATCATTAGAAACTATTATGACCAACTATATTCCAATAAATTGATAAACCTGCAAATAATGACCAGGCACCATGGCTCATGCCTGTAATCCCAACACTTTGGGAGGCCAAGGTAGGTGATCACCTGAGGTCAGGAGTTCAAGACCAGGCTGGCCAACAAGGTGAAACCCCATCTCTACTAAAAATACAAAAGTTAGCCAGGCATGGTGGTGTGCACCTGTACTCCCAGCTACTCCAGAGGCTGAGGCAGGAGAATCATTTGAACCTGGGAGGCAGAAGTTGCAGTGAGCTGACATTGTACCAAGCTCCAGCCTGGGTGACAGTGCAAGACTCCATCTCAAAAAACAAACAAACAAACAAAAAACAAAAAAAAACCCACAAAAAAACAAAAACAACTAAAAAACAAACCTAGAAGAAATGGATAAATGAGATTGAACCCATAATAAAACATCTCCTAGCAAAGAAAAGTCTGGATCCAATGGCTTCACTGATTAATTTTACCAAACATTGAAGGAAGAATTACTATCAATCCTACTCAAACTATTCCAAAAAACAAAGAAGACTGTAGTATTACCATACTCATTCTATGAAAAAGACCATTCATCATGTCTAAGTGGGATTTACCCCAAGAATGCCAACATGGTTCAACATATGTAAATCAATCAATGTGACACATCATATCAACAGAATGAAGGACAGAAACCATATGGTAATTTCAACTGATGCTGAAAACGATTTAATAAAATCCAACATCCCTGTGATAAAAAGAAACCCTAAAAAAAAAACTAGATTTAGAAGGAACATACCACAACACAATAAAAACCATATGCAACAGACCAACAGCCAGTATCATCCGGAACAGAGAAAAACTGAAAGCCTTTCTTCTAAGATCTGGAACAAGGCAAGAATGTCCACTTCCAACACTGTTACTCAACATAGTACTGGAAGTCCTAGCTAGAGCAATCCAGAAAAGAGAAAAAGAATAAAGGGCATCCAAATTGAAAGAAGTAAAATTATTATTGTTTTCTTGTTTGCAGGTGATTTGATCTTATATTTGGAAAAACCTAAGGACTCCACCAAAAAACTATTAGAACTGATCAACAAATTCAGAGTCACACGATACAAAATCAAACTACAAAAATCAGTAGTATTTCTAAATGCCAAAAATGAACAATCTAAAGAAGAAAATCAAGAACATAATCCCATTTACAATAGCTACACATAAATAAAATATCTAGGAATAAACGTAACAAAAGAAGTGAAAGATATCTATCATGAAAACTATAAAACACCAATGCAAAAAAATTAAAGAAGACACCAAAAAATGGAAAGATAGTCCATGTTCATTGATTGGAAGAGTAAATATTGTTAAAATACACATACTTCACAAAGCAATCTACAGATTCAATGCAATCCCTATTGAAATACTGATAACATTCTTCACAGAAAAAGAAAAAAAATCCTAAAATTTATATGAAACCATAAAAGACCCAGAATACCAAAAGTCATCCTTAGCAAAAAGAACAAAACTGGAAGAATCACATCACCTGACGTTAAATTATACTACAGAGCAATTGTAAACAAAACAGCTTGGTACTGGCATAAAACAGAGACATAGACCAATGGAACAGAATAGAGAACCCAGAAATAAATCCTTACATTTACAACTAACTCATTTTCAATGAAGGTGCCAAGAATATACATGGGGGAGAGAACAGTCTCTTCAACAAATTATTCTGGGAAAACTAAATATTCATTGGTAGAATAATTTTTTTATTTTTTGAGATGGAGTCTAGCTCTGTTGCTCAGGTTGGAGTGCAGTGGTGCAATCTGGGCTCACTGCAAGCTCCACCTCCTGGGTTCACACCATTCTCCTCCTCGGCCTCCCAAGTAGCTGGGAGTGCAGGTGCCCCCATCATGCCCGCTAATTTTTTTTTTTTTGTATTTTTAGTAGAGACGTAGTTTCACCGTGTTAGCCAGGATGGTCTTGATCTCCTGCCCTCATGATCTCCCCACCCGGGCCTCCCAAAGTCTGAGGCTGAATAATTTAATTGGCAGAATAATTAAACTAGAACCCTCTCTTGTGCTATATAGAAAAATCAAATCCAAATGGGTTAAAGACTTAAGTCAAGGACACGAAACTACTGAAAGAAAACATTAGGGAAACTCTCCAGGAAATTGGTCTGGGCACAGATTTCTTGAGTAATACTCCAAAAGCTCAGGCAACCAAAGCAAAAATGAACAAATGGTATCACATGAAGTTCAAAAATTTCTGCATAGTAAAGAAAACAATGGACAAAGTGAAAAGACAATCCACAGAATGGAAGAAAATATTTGCAAACTATATATCTGACAAGGGATTAATAACCAGAATATATAAGGAGTTCAAACAACTCTATAAGAAAAAAACTAATAATCCAATTATTTAAATGGGCAAAAGATCCGAACAGACATTTCTCAAAAGAAGGCAAACAGGTCAGGCGCAGTGGCTCACACCTGCAATTCCAGCACTTTTGGGAGCCAAGACAGGTGGACCACTTGAGCCCAGGAGCTCAAGACCAACCTGAAAAACATAGCAAATAATTTTAAAACCTACCTGGGCATGGTGATGCATGCCTGTGGTCCCAGCTACTCAGGAGGCTGAGGTGGGAGGATTGCTTGAACCCTGGTAGTCAAAACTACAGTAAGCCATCATCATACCACTGCACTCCAGCCTGGGTGACAGAGTGAGACCCTGTCTCAAAATATGAGCAAAAACAAAGAAGAAGATATATAAATCTCATATAGGTATATGAAAAGATGCTCAATATCATTGATCATCAGAGAAATTCAAATCAAAACTACAATAAGATATCATCTTACCCCCATTAAAATGGCTTTTATGCAAAAGACAGGCAATAACAAATGCTTGCAAGAATGTGGAGAAAAGAGAACCCTCTTACTCTGTTGGTGGGAATGTAAATTAGTACACTCACTATGGAGAACAATATGGAGGTCCCTCAAAAAATTAAAAAAGGATTAGAACTATCATATGATCCAGCAATCCCACTGCTGGGTATATACCCAAGGGAGGGAAAATTAGTATATCAAAGAGATATCTGCATTCCCATATTTATTTCAGCACTATTCATAATAACCAAGATTTGGAAGCAACCTAGGTGTGCATCAACAGATGAAGGGATAAAGAAAATGTAGTACATACACACAATGGAGTACTCTTCGGCCATGAAAAAGAATAAGATTCTCTCCTTTGCAACAACGTGGATGGAACTAGGGGACATTATGTTAAGTAAAATGAGCCAGGCACAGAAAGACAGACTTTGCATGTTCTCACTCATTTGTGGGAGCTAAAAATTAAACAATTGAACTCAGAAAGATAGAGAGTAGACTGAGAGTTTCCAGAGTCTGAGAAGAGTAGCGGTGTTACGGGATCTTTGGAGTGTCACTTTTCTGGACAGAAACCTCTATGGCTGGTGGCACCTTTACCTGAGTTTTGCTTGGTTCCCGCCCACTCAGCCTGGCAGGCTGTGCTCAGCTCATGCTACCAGGTGGGATCCCATGTTTGCCAAGGGAGACTGCATGGAGTGGCAAGGTGTGTGTGAGCGAGCATGGGGTCTGGCCATTGTGCAGTCAGACTTGCTGGCTGCTGCAGTGGGGCAGGTAGCTCCAGGTGCCAACACGGGCGCCAGCTCTCCACAAGGCTATGGCTGGACCACGGGCACCTCAAGCAGCTTCCACAGCTGGCACATTGGGAACACAGTGGAACCCAGAAGCTTGGAGATACCAGGAACCACAGGGCCCCAAAGAAGGAATCACAGCCCTGGCTCAGGGAGCTCCCAGGTCAGGCTTCCCAAAGGGTCACGGCTCTTCTTTCCTTCTCTTTGCCCACAATGTGGCAAGCAAGGGGCATGTCTCAGCCCTGTTTGTGTTACAGCTCTTTCAGCCTCTTCCCTAGGATTTGTCATAATTAATTCCCATATTGTCTTATTTTTTTACATGTGTTTCAACTTCAGAAGATGTACGGATTTAAACAAAACATGATGTGTTAGCTAGCTGCCATATGAATTTCTCCCTGTTTCACCACTATGTAGCCTAAAGTTATTCCGTCATCCATGACTATCCTGGCTAAGGAGTCTAAAGATCTTTGTTTGGTAGCTATGGCTTCAGCTAGTTCATTTGCTAAGTTACCTACAGTGGTTGACAGATTTCTAATTATATGTTCATGAGAGGTTACTCCTCACCATTGCAAGCGACTTCTGCCAAACATAGGATAAAATTCATCTCCTTGGTTTGCAGGTATGGTTTGTCTAATCCTGGAAAATAAATTCGATGAACTACTTCAGTGTTCAGAAACATTGGAGTTATAAACAGAAAGAAGAAGAGTCACATAACCTAATAGACAATTACTTCTCATATGCCAGCGGTCAATACATTCATAAGCCCATGGGTGGTTGATCCAGGGACCACACAGGGTCCCTGACAGATTCTGAAAGTTAAGGCTTTTGTTTACAGGTAACAGAGATAGGTTAAAGTACACGTCTTCAGTCTTGAGTAGAGTGTAATCAGTCTCATTTTTTTTAATGAGACAAACATCAGGTAAAGACCTTGACAAGAAGGAAGAGAAATCCCGAGATTCTATAATCATAATAATCGAATTGTAATTGCAAGTTTGAGTAGTCCTTCAAAAATACATCTCATTCCTGACAGGATAAAACAAGTTTTTAAAATTATATTATATTCAGATTCACTAGGGAACAGTTGGAGCCAGGAAATAATTCAGGATTCAGCCGAAATTATAGCAAATAATAAAAACTCTAAAACAATCATCAGGGTTGGAATCTAATAGCATATGCCATAATTTTCTTTTGGAACATAAATTTTCTCTCTAGTCCATCATTTTATCAAAGACAAATCATAGTAGGACCAATTTGTATGCAAAATAAGTTTTAGTCTTATCATACCTGGCCTGATTATTTCCATAAAGTGCATCAAGAATATTTATTGGCCATACGGACTTCTTAAAATTGGCTTTGTTGGAAATTTTTAATAAGGAATCTTAGACTTTTAAGAGCCTTGAAGCTAGCCAAGTCAAAGATTTGCATCAGACTATGTCTGTAATAATTTTTTTAACCTACATTTTTTAAATAATACTTTAAGTTATGGGGTACATTTGCAGAATGTGCAGGTTTGTTACATAGGTATATATGTTCTGTGGTGGTTTGCTGCACCCATCAACCCATCACCTATATTAGGTATTTCTCCTAATGCTATCCCTCCCCCTGCCCCCACCCCCCAACAGGCCCCAGTGTGTGAAGTTCCCCTCCCTGTGTCCATGTGTTCCCATTGTTCAACTCCCACTTATGAGTGAGAATATGTGGTGTTTGGTTTTCTGTTCTTGTGTTAGTTTACTGACAGTGATGGTTTCCAGCTTCATCCATGTCCCTGCAAAGGACATGAACTCATCCTTTTTTATGGCTGCATAGTATTCCATGGTGTGTATGTGCCACATTTTCTTTATTCAGTCTATCATTGATGGGCATTTGGGTTGGTTCCAAGTCTTTGTTATTGTGAACAGTCCTGCAATAAACATACATGTGCATGTGTCTTTGTAGTAGAATGATTTATAATCCTTTGGGTATATACCCAGTAATGGGATTGCTGGGCCAAATGGTAATTCTAGTTCTAGATCCTTGAGGAATAGCCACACTGTCTTCCACAATGGTTGAACTAATTTACACTCCCACCAACAGTGTAAAAGCCTTCCTATTTCTCCACACCCTCTCCAGTATCTGTTGTTTCCTGACTCTTTAATGATTGCCATTCTAACTGGCATGAGATGGTATCTCACTGTAGTTTTGATTTGCATTTCTCTAATGACTAGTGATGATGAACTTTTTTTCATAAGTTTGTTGGTTGCATAATTGTCCTCTTTTGAGAAGTGTCTGTTCACATCCTCCGCCCACTTTTCAATGAGGTTGTTTTTTCTTGTAAATTTGTTTAAGTTCTTTGTAGATTCTGGATATTAGCTGTTTGTCAGATGGATAGATTGCAAAAATTTTCTCCCATTTTGTAGGTTGCCCGTTCACTCTGATAGTTTCTTTTGCTGTCCAGAAGCTCTCTATTTTAATTAGGTCCCATTTGTCAATTTTGGCTTTTGTTGCCTTTGTTTTTGGTGTTTTAGTCATGAAGTCTTTGCCCATGCCTATGCCATGAATGGTATTGCCTAGGTTTTCCTCTAGGGTTTTTATGGCTTTAGGTCTTATGTTTAAGTCTTTAATCCACCTTGAGTTAATTTTTGTATAAGGTGTAAGAAAGGGATCCAGTTTCAGCTTTCTGCCTATGGCTAGCCCGTTTTCCCAACACCATTTATTAAATAGGGAATCCTTTCCCCAGTGCTTGTTTTTCTCAGGTTTGTCAAAGATCAGACGGTTGTAGATGTGTGGTGTTATTTCTGAGGCCTCTTTTCTGTTCCTTTGATCTATATCTCTGTTTTGGTACCAGTACCATGCTGTTTTGGTTACCGTAGCTTGTATTATAGTTTGAAGTCAGGTAGCATGATGCTTCCAGCTTTGTTCTTTTTGGTTAGGATTGTCTTGGCTGTTCGGGCTCTTTTTTGATTCCACATGAAATTTAAAGTATGTTTTTCCAATTCCGTGAAGAAAGTCAATGGTAGTTTAATGGGGATGGCAGTGAATCTATAAATTACTTTGGGCAGTATGGCCATTTTCACGATACTGATTCTTCCTATCTATGAGCATGGAATGATTTTCCATTTGTTTGTGTCCTCTCTTATTTCCTTGAGGAGTGGTTTGTAGTTCTCCTTGAAGAGGTCCTTCACATCCTTGTAAGTTGTATTCCTAGGTATTTCATTCTTTTTATAGCAATGGTGAATGGGAGTTCACTCACAGTTTGGCTCTCTGTTTGTCTGTTATTGCTGTATAAGAGTGCTTGTGATTTTTGCACATTGATTTTGTATCCTGAAACTTTGCTGAAGTTGCTTATCAGCTTAAGGAGATTTTGGGCTGAGATGATGGGGTTTTCTAAATATACAATCATGTCATCTGCAAACAGAGACCATTCGACTTCCTCTTTTCCTAATTGAATACCCTTTATTTCTTTCTCTTGCCTGATTGCCCTGGCCAGAACTTCCAATACTATGTTGAATAGGGGTAGTGAGAGAGGGCATCCTTGTCTTGTGCTGATTTTCAAAGGGAATGCTTCCAGTTTTTGCACATTCAGTATGTTATTGGTTGTGGGTTTGTCATAAATAGCACTTATTATTTTGAGATACGTTCCATCAATACCAGTTTATTGAGAGTTTTTAGCATGAAGGGCTGTTGAATTTTGTCAAAGGCCCTTTCTGCATCTATTGAGATAATCATGTAGTTTTTGTCATTGGTTCCCTTTATATGATAGATTACAATTATTGATTTGCATATGTTGAACCATCCTTGCATCCCAGGGATGAAGCCGACTTGATTATGGTGTACAAGCTTTTTGATGTGCTGCTGGATTCAGTTTTCCAGTATTTTATTCAGGATTTCTGCATCGATATTCATCAGGGATATTGGTCTAAAATTTTCTTTTATTGTTGTGTCCCTGCGAGGTTTTGGTATCAAGGTGATGCTGACCTCATAAAATGAGTTAGGGAGGATTCTCTCTTTTTCTATTGTTTGGAATAGTTTCAGAAGGAATGATACCAGCTCCTCTTTGTACCTCTCATAGAATTCAGCTGTGAATCTGTCTGGTCCTGGACATTTTTTGGTTGGTAGGCTCTAATTAATGTCTCAATTTCAGAACTTGTTACTGGTCTATTCAGGAATTTGACTTCTTCCTGGTTTAGTCTTGGTAGTATTCGCTGATGATAATTTGTATTTCTGTGGGATCAGTTGTGATATCCCCTTAATCATTTTTTATTGCATCTATTTGATTCTTCTCTCTTTTCTTCTTCATTAGTCTGGCTAGTGGTCTGTTTTGTTGATCTTCGAAAAAAAACAGCTCCTGGATTCATTGATTTTTTGAAGGGTTTTTCGTGTCTCTGTCTCCTTAAATTCTGCTCTGATCTTATTTATGCCTTGTCTTCTGCTAGCTTTTGAATTTGTTTGTCCTTGCTTCTCCAGTTCTTTTAATTTTGATGTTAGGGTGTCAATTTTAGATCTTTCCTGCTTTCTCTTGTGGTCATTTAGTGCTATAAATTTCCCTCTACACACTGTTTTAAATGTGTCCCAGAGATTCTGGGACGTTGTGTCTTTGTTCTCATTGGTTTCAAAGAACATCTTTATTTCTGCCTTCATTTCGTTATTTACCCAGTAGTCATTCAGGAGCAGGTTGCCCAGTTTCCATGTAGTTGTGAGGTTTTGAGTGAGTTTCTTAATCCTGCATACTAATTTGAATGCATTGTGGTCTGAGAGACTGTTTGTTATGATTTCCGTTCTTTTGCATTTCCTGAGGAGTGTTTTACTTCCAATTATGTGGTCAATTTTAGAATAAGTGCAATGTGGTGCTGAGAAGAAGGTATATTCTGTTGATTTGGGGTGGAGAGTTCTGTAGATATCTTTTAGGTCCACTTGGTCCAGAGCTGAGTTCAAGTCCTGGATATGCTTGTTAATTTTCCGTCTCATTGATCTAATATTGACAGTGGAGTGTTAAAGTCTCCCACTATTATTGTGTGGGAGTCTAAGTCTCTTTGTAGGTCTTTAAGAACTTGCTTTATGAATCTGAGAGCTCCTGTATTGGGTGCATATATGTTTAGGATAGTTAGCTCTTCTTGTTTCATCGATCCCTTTACCATTATGTAATGCCCTTCTTTGTCTCTTTTGATCTTTCTTGGCTTAAGGTCTGTTTTATCAGAAACTAAGATTGCAACCCCTGCCTTTTGTTGCTTTCCACTTGCTTGGTAAATGTTCCTCCATCCCTTTATTTTGAGCCTATGTGTATGAGATGGGTCTCCTGAATGCAGCATATTGATGGGTCTTGACTCTATCCAATTTGCCAGTCTGTGTTTTTCAACTGGGGACATATAGCTCATTTACATTTAAGGTTAATATTGTTATGTGTGAATTTGATCCTGTCATTATGATACTAGCTGGTTATGTTGCTCATTAGTTGATGAAGTTTTTTCATAGTGTCAATGGTCTTTATAATTTGGTATGTTTTTGCAGTGGCTGTTACCAGTTGTTCCTTTCCGTGTTTAGTGCTTCCTTCAGGAGCTCTTGTAAGGCAGGCGTGGTGGTGACAATATCTCTCAGCATTTGCTTGTAAAGGATTTTATTTCTCCTTCAATTATGAAGCTTAGTTTGGCTGGATATGAAATTCTGGCTTGAAAATTCTTTTCTTTAGGAATGTTGTGTATTGGCCCCCACTCTCTTCTGGCTTGTAGGCTTTCTGCCAAGAGATCCACTGTTAGTCTGATGGGCTTCCCTTTGTGGGTAACTCAACCTTTCTCTCTGGCTGCCCTTAATATGTTCTCCTTCATTTCAACCTTGGTGAATCTGATGATTTTGTGTCTTGGGGTTGCTCTTCTTGAGAAGTGTCTTAGTGGTGTTCTCTGTATTTCCTGAATTTGAATGTTGGCCTGTCTTGCTAGGTTGGGGAAGTTCTCCTGGATAATATCCTGCAGAGTGTTTTCCAACTTGGTTCCATTCTCTCTGTCACTTACAGGTACACCAGTCAAACGTAGATTCAGTCTTTTAACATAGTCCTCTATTTCTTGGAGGCTTTGTTCATTTCTTTTCACTCTTTTTTCTTTAATCTTGTCTTCTTGCTTTATTTCATTGAGTTGATCTTCAATCTCTGATATCCTTTCTCCTGCTTGATTGATTCAGCTATTGATACTTGTGTATGCTTCATGAAGTTCTTGTGCTGGGTTTTTCAGCTCCATCAGGTCATTTATGTTCTTCTCTAAACTGGTTATTCTAGTTAACAATTCATTTAACCTTTTTTTTCAGGTTCTTAGCTTCCTTGCATTGAGTTAGAACATGCTCCTTTAGCTCGGAGGAGTTTGTTATTACCCGCCTTCTGAAGCCTACTTCTGTCAATTCGTCAAACTCATTGTCTGTCCAGTTTTGTTCCCTTGCTGGCGGGGAGTTGTGATCTTCTGGAGGAGAAGATGCATTCTGGCTTTTGGAGTTTTCAGCCTTTTTGCACTGGTTTCTCCCATCTTTGTGGATTTATCTACCTTTGGTCTTTGATGTTGGTGCTGTTGATACTATTCCTTTCTGTTTGTTAGTTTTCCTTCTAACAGTCAGGTCCCTCTGCTGCAGGTTTGCTCGAGTTTGCTGGAGGTCCACTCCAGACCCTTTTTGCCTGGGTATCACCAGTGGAGGCTCAGTTGGAAATGCATGAACCACCTGCCTTCTGTGTTGATCTCACTAGGTGCCGCAGGCCAGAGCTCTTCCTACTCAGACATCTTGCCAGCTCTCCTGTAATACTTTTATGAATGAGTGTAGTCCTCTCTTCTCAAGGTCCCCAAATATCTTGAGGTTCCTAGGCCCGTCAGAAAGTGACATTCTTTACTTCTTACCAGAAGGACAGTGAATATAAAGGACCCTTGTAGACAAGACACCAAGCCAGTCATTATAAGGGGCTTTGTATTGGTGCTATAAAGTCAACCTCAATTCCTTAAAGTGGTCTGGTTGTATCTGCCATTCGAGTTAAAGCCTTGATAAAACAAACAGTGTCTCCAATTGAATCCTGTTATCAAAAACAGATTCATATTGAAATTATGCAAATAATTATATTGCCATAATTTAAGAATGCTCACTAATGGCTTCTGAATTCTGGAGTAATCAGTTAGAGAGACAGATAAATGGCTCAAATTTTTGTTCACAATGTAGTTTATCTAATGTATTGTGAGTTAAAAATAGCTGAAAAGAAAAAAAAATTCTTGACTTTGGAAAACAAAACATAAAGAGAATCAACAATGTTTCCAATGAAAAGGCCATGAATAAAATCTTTTTCTTCTTTTATGAGTTCATTCCCATGTAACTAAATCTTGTTCTGTTTGATTTCAAATAGCAATTCTCATTCAGTTTTTTTGTGTTTTGCTTGATTTCAATTAGAAGTTCTCATTCAGCTTTTCAGAGTCCTGGAAGATTTTCCTAGTCCAATGGTATGATCCCCAAAGTTATCAGAAACCATATTTAAGAGAACTTGTCAGAGTCCTTTCCATTAAAAGTAATTTAGATGATAGCTGATTGTAAAGGCTTTTTTTTTGAGGCATGGTTTGGCTCTATCACTCAGGATGGAGTGCAGTGGCATGATCTTGGCTCACCACAATCTCTCCCTCCCAAACTCAAGCCATCTTCCTACCTCAGCCTCCGAAGTAGCTGGGACCATAAGCATGCACCATCATGCCTGGCTAATTTTTGTATTTTTGTAGAGACAGGGTTTTACCATGTTGCCCAGGCTGCTTTCAAACTTCTGAGTTCAGCAATTCACCCAACTTGGCCTTGCAAAGTGCTGGGATATTTACAAGCGTGAGCCACCGTGCCCTGTGCCACGCCTAGCAACATGCCCTGCACAGCCTCCAGCACTGCACCCGGCCTGTAAAGGGTTTTAGAGAAGAACTTAAAACAATCAACGTGGATGACAAAATTTTAGAATAGCCTTTGGTTAAAATCCAGTAGAAGTTCTCAACTGGTGAGAAAATTTAGTTACTTCTATTATATGTAGCATTTTATGATAACAGCCAGAATCATGACTGACGGCAACACATCTAATCCATCAGACTTCCACAAATTTTACATAATCTTTAGAATATATATAGTAATAATATATCTATACACATAAAACTTTAGAAAATATTTAACATCATCAAAATTGTGATTTCTGCCATATTAGATTTTTATACTTTATATAACATTTAAAATATTTATATTAATAACATACCTATAAATGTAACCAAAAGAAGATTTAGGCCAGGCACAGTGGCTCATGCCTGTAATCCCAACACTTTGGGAAGCCAAATTGGACAGATCATCAGAGGTCAGGAGTTCGACAGCAGCCTGGCCAACATGGAGAAACCTTGTCTCTACTAAAAATACAAAATTAGCTGGGTGTGGTGGCACGTGTCTGTAGTCCCAGCTACTTGGGAGGATGAGGCAGGAGAATCGCTTGAACCTTGGGGCAGAGGTTGCAGTGAATCTAGATCATGCCACTGCACTACAGCCTGGGTGACAAAGCAATATTTTTGTCTCAGAGAAAAAAAAGATTTAGTGTTACTTATCTTTTGGCAATGCTTCCCATACAATGTTATCAACTAAGTTTTAGCAAAGATGTCAAAAAATTGAAAACATTTGACCAAAACAGAATGACAGTTTATTGTTTTTTATTTTATTACTTTTTTGAGACGGTCTCACCCTGTTGCCCAGGCTGTAGTGCAGTGGTGAAATCATAGCTCACTGCAGCCTCAACCTCCCAGGCTCAGGTGATTCTCCACCTTAGTCTCCCAAGTAGCCAGGATTATGAGCTCGTGCTACCACACCTAGCTAGCTTTTGTATTTTTAGTAGAGATGGGGTTTTGCCATTTTGCCCAGGCTGGACTTGAACTCCTGGGCTCAAGTGATCCACCCACCTTGGCCTCTCAAAGGGCTGGAATTACAGTTATGAGCCGCTGCACACAGCCACGTGTCATTTTTAAATAACAGTCATTCATTTAATTAGCATGACAACCAAAATATATCAAAAGCAACATAGGTTACATGGATGTGAAAACTGAAAACCCTCAGTTTTCCCAAGGAATTAAAAAAACAATAAAGGCAACACATGGATTATCTTGATAAAACCTAAAATCTTTATTACAGTCCAGTCATTTAAAGGGTAAATGCTCCTGTGGCATAATTGTCTCTTTTTATGGGAAGGTAATTTATATCACTTGGAAGTCAAACCCGATGACAAGGAGACTTGAATTTAATTCGACATAGAAAGAGTGTGTCCAGGATCATGAGTGAGCATAATATTACAGAGGAATGTCAACAGGAAAACCAGAGCATAGAGCCGTGGGGATCCATAGCTCACAGTGATAGCATAGAAGTTTCCTGGTTACATGAAGTAATTAAGACATATTTAAAAGCCAAAAGTACAAAATTAGACCTGATGAAAAAGCTGAAGGAGTTATCATCCCAGCCAAGCAGGAAACCCAAATCTTTTATTCCTTCTCAAGAAGGAACAGGAGACAATGATGTGATCTGTGAGTCATGTGTAACATGAAAGTACAGGAAAAGTTGAACTTCTGATATACAAATCTGAAAACTTTTTATAGTAACAGATTTCAGGATTAAAAGTCAATATTTATTACCTCTTATTATGAGCAAATAAATACATTAAGAAAACCTTGTTATTTTAACCACAATTTTTAGTTTTTTTATCACTATGTTTTTAATATTACAGCTAATTTAAATAAACTTTATAAACAGTCTATCTGATCTCAATCAGTTTTGACCTCGAGGTAAGATTTACATAAACGTTTAATAA
The DNA here is from genome assembly GCF_000001405.40 of Homo sapiens. NCBI lineage: Eukaryota > Metazoa > Chordata > Mammalia > Primates > Hominidae > Homo > Homo sapiens. The sequence goes on along the minus strand of NT_187377.1, from coordinate 50,907 downwards.
CCTTGTATATTTTTTCCATCTTTCCCAACTTTTTATACACATTTAGTTTTATCTATCTTTTTTATTCCTTCAATTTAAAATAATCCTTAAAAATCTCTAAGCAAATTTACTTTCTCTGAAACAAAAACCGGTATACATTTTGCATACAGAATTGTTTCTCTTGTATCTAGTAGTCTTAATCACATATATCTACCAAGATATTAACACTTAGTAACCCTTATTTTAATAAAAAACCTAGGAAGCAAGAAGTCTTGAATTGTCATATAGCAGTATCTTACATATGAGAATAATTTCATAATTTAGAATTATGTGTTCCTAAAACATATTTTTTAAGATGGATTTTCACTCTTGTTGCCCAGGCTGGAGTGCAATGGAGCGATCTCAGTTAACTGCAACCTCCACCCCCCAGGTTCAAGCAATTCTCCTGCCTCAGCCTCCCTAGTAGCTGGGATTACAGGAACCCACCACCACACCTGGCTAATTTTTTGTATTTTTTAGTAGAGGTGGGGTTTCACCATGTCGATCAGGCTGATCTTGAGCTCCTGACCTTGGGTGAGCCACCCACCTTGGCCTTCCAAAGTGTTGGGATTACAAGCATGAGCCACAGTGCCTGGCCTAAAACATAAGTTTTAAATTGGAAATAACCCGGATATTTAATGAGTATCTATTATTTAATTTAAAATAACTAAAATTTCAAAAATAGGCTGGGCATGGTGGCTCACACCTGTAATCCCAACAGTTTAGGAGGCCAAGTCAGGAGTATCATGAGACCAGCCTGAGCAAAATAGTGAGATGCTGACTCTACAAAAAAAATAAAAGTTAGCTGACCATGGTGGTGCATGCCTGTAATTAACAGCTACTTGGGAGGCTGAGGTGGGAGGATCCCTTGAGTGCAGGAGCTCAAGGTTGCAGTGAGCTGTCATCATGCCACTGCATTTCAGCCTGGGTGACAGACAGAGACACTGTCCCACAAAAATTTCAAAAATACATTAAGATGTCTTGTATAGACATTTATCCATTTACATTTACTTATTTTTGACAGTTTATCTAGAGTATTTGTGAGAACTGAGGTATTAGACAAAGCTAGTCATCATTTCTAGGTTATTTTCTTGTTAACCATGTTATAGCCTGTGAATATCAGGTATTCATGTAAGTGAGGACTTCAAAGTTAAATACATGGGTATTTTACCAATAACTCAGAAAATTCCATTATTTTTGTTCAACAAACCTTATTAAATTTGTCTTATGTATTTAAAAAGTCACATAAACAAATATTCTTTTTTTCTGTGTTTACAGCTTTATAACCTTCATGCCAAACCCTAGCACCTTAAAATATCTAACAAATGTAAATATAAAACACAGTCAAAAATGTATGCTGACAATTCTGAAGACATTTCTATTTTTATTTTATCAATACTTTTTAAATTATTTGTATTTATAAAAGAACTCTTTTGTCTGGGCACAGTGGTTCATGTCTGTATCCCAGCACTTTGAGAGGCTGAGGCAAGAGGACCACTTGAGCTCAGGAGTTTGAGACCAGCCTGCGCAACATAGTGAGACCCAATCTCTACTAAGAATAAGGTAAAAAATTGTCAGGCATGGTGGTGCATGCTTATTGTCCCAGATACTAGAGAGGATGAGGCAGGAGGATTACTTGAGCCTGGGAGGTTGAGATAACAGTGAGCTATGATCCCACTACTGCACTCCAGTCTCGGGAACAGAGTGAGAACTTCTCTCAAAAAGAGAAAAAAATAAAGAATTGTTTTATTCTTTTGTTTTTCTTCAGCCAAGTAACCTTGAATTGGTAACACCACAGACAGTAAGTCTTGTCTCAACATCAGTAGAAAAATCAGCAGATTCAAAGTAGGCAGGGAAAAAAATGATAGGCAAAAGAACTGAGACTTTTTAATTTTAGGGTTTTTAAAAATAGTAACTATTTGAGTTTTGAATTTTCTTTCATGTAATTTGGCCGTCAGGTTTAAAGTGTGCACTAGAGGCCAGGTACAGTGGTTCATTCATGTAATCCCAACACTATGGGAGGCTGAGGCAGGTGGATCACTTGAGGCCAGGAGTTTGAGACCAGCCTGGCCAACATGACAAAACCCCATCTCTACTGTAAATACAAAAATTAACTGGGTGTGGTGGTGCGCACCTGTAGTCCTAGCTATTCACGAGGCTGAGGCAGGATAATCGCTCAAACCTGGGAGGTGGAGGTTGCAGTGAGCCGCGATTGTACCACCATACTCCATCCTGGGCAACAGAGCAAGACTCTGTGTCAAAAAGAAAAAGAAATATATATATGTATAGGCTGGGCACAGTGGCTCATGCCTGTAATCCCAGCAGTTTGGGAGGCCAAGGCGGGTGGATCACTTGAGATCAGGAGTTTGAGACCCGCCTGGCCAACATGGTGAAACCTCATCTCTACTAAAACCACAAAAATCAGCCGGGTATGGTGGCGCACACCTGTAATCACAGCTACTCAGGAGGCTGAGACAGGAGAATTGCTCGAACCTGGGAAGTGGAGGTTGCAGTGAGCCAAGATCACACCACTGCATTCCAGCGTGGGCAACAGAGCAAGACTCTGTCTCAAAAAAGTGTATGTGTGTGTGTGTGTGTGTGTGTGGCTAGAATGGTCCATAATATATAACCAACTCGAGTCCCAGAAAACCTAGCAAGCTTAAGGTTAGAGCTTCTTGTTTTGGTCTTTTCAAGATTAAATCCTTTAGTAAGCCCTTCCCCTCTAGGGAGGTACTTGCCAGAGCTCTGTCTGAAGTTGGTTTTCTGATGCCCTGTTGTTTCTGTTCTGAATGGTTTATTTCTCATTATAAGAGCTCAGCAAAGCAGGCAGAGTTAAAAAGCAGAGACATGAAGGCTTTAAAATCATGGACTTCACTCCTACACTGAATCTCAGGTTCCCAGAAAGACAGAAACACCAAGGGACCACAGCAAAGGCAGAAGGAGGAGTGAGATAGGGAGGTGGACAGAACAACAAACAGGAGTTGGCTCTCATTTTTTCACGCGTGCCATTTTCTTTAGGTTTTTCTAGTTTATGGAGTCTCTTTGTTCCAGTTGAGCACACAGATAAACTACAGATCTCACAAGGCTTTTGCTGAGAACATCAAAGGCTTTAACTTCTGTTGGGCCAAATATTTAGACCAAAAATACAGATAGACACACAAAAGCCAGAACCAGACCAGATTGAGTAGCTCAGTGGCTACAGCCTTTATTCCCTTTATTCTTTAGGATTCGAACTCAAACCAGATTCAGGGTTCTAACCCAACCAGGACCCCCCTGGGGTGAAACTGAAACCCCACAGTCTAGACAAGGTTGGGGGTCTTTTTATATTTTTTATTTTTTTGAGATGGAGTTTCACTCTTTTTGCCCAGGCTGGAGTGCAATGGTGCAATATTGCCTCACAGCAACCTCCGCCTCTCAGGTTTAAGCACTTATCCTGCCTTAGCCTCCAAAGCTGGGATTACAGGCTTGTGCCACCATGCCCAGCTCATTTTGCATTTTTAGTAGAGACGGGGTTTCTCCATGTTGGTCAGGCTGGTCTCAAACTCCCAACCTCGGGTGATCCGCACACCTAAGCCTCCCAAAGTGTTGACATTACAGACATGAGCCACCGCACCCGGCCTGCTTGTTCTTTTCATTTCATCCTGATCTCCGAATACAGGAGAGTAGCTGATTTGGTGTTCACTAACAAGCACAGAAGCTTTGTTACATTTACAGTGTCATTCTTGGCAAAACCTGAAGTTTTGCCTCCCGGGTTCATGCCATTCTCCTGCCTCAGCCTCCTGAGTAGCTGGGACTATAGGCGCCCGCCACCTCACCCAGCTAATTTTTTGTATTTTTAGTAGAGACGGGGTTTCACCGTGTTAGCCAGGATGGTCTCGATCTCCTGACCTTGTGATCCGCCCACCTCAGCCTCCCAGAGTGCTGGGATTACAGGCGTGAGCCACCGCGCCCAGCCAGAAGCTCTAATTTCAATGATGATTGTGCTTTTTATCTCTTCCTCAGCATCTGACTCATGATAAAATATCAGGTGTCTTGATGGTATCTAAATCAGTTGTTGATTCGGTCCTGGAGAAACACAAGCATAACCTCTATGCCAAGTTATAATTTTACCTATTTCCCAACTTTTTGTTATTGGGTCTCTCCACCAAACCAGTTATTCTGCTTCTGTCTTTGCAGCTGGTTTCTGTAGATGCTGTTCAGCTGCTGGTAACATCTGGCCTTTGGGCAGGCTCAAAAATTTGAAAGTTAATAATGCTAGATTCAATTGTGTATAGGCTATCCCATAATCCCTGTTTCTCCCCTTTTTTTTGTTTTTATTATCAGTTGTTCATCTGTATGAAATCGTAACTGAGCGTTTTCAATTCACTGTGTGGAATGAACCATGTATGAAGAATCAGAAATCACATTAACAGGCATATCAAAAGCAGTCAATACCTCATTTACAGCTACAAGCTCCGCTTTTTGAGCTGAAGTATAGGGTGTCTGGAAAACTTTACCTTTTGATCCAGAATAAGAAGCTTTACCATTACTAGACCCATCTGTGAAACAACGAAAACGCTTAGCAGGCTGCAGGTTGTTTACTGCAGGAATTGTAAATGCAAACCCTTCACAGTCTTGCTCAGCTAAAAGGGTAGTAAAGAAACAGTCTTTTAAATCTGTGCCTATTAAAGGCCAATTTTTTGGAATTATAGTAGGAGAAGGCAATCCTGGCTGTTATGTTTCCATAGGTTGTATAACTGAATTGATGGCTCTTAAGTCAGTTAACATTCTCCATTTACCTGATTTTTTCTTAACTATGAAAACTGGAGAATTCCAAGGGGAAAATGTTGGAGCTATGTGCCCATTTTCTAATTGTTTAGTAACTAATTTCTCTAAAGCATCCAGTTTCTCTTTGCTTAGCAGCCATTATTCTATCCAAATTGGCTTATCTGTTAACCATTTTAAAGGTATAGGTTCTGGAGGCTTAACAGTGGCCACCATCAAAAATGGTATCCTAATCTTTGGCAGGAAATTTGTCTTTCCGTTTGAAGCAGTTCTTTTAAATCTTGCAATTTTTTTCTACTCCTATACCAGGGACATGCCCCATTTCGTGCATCATATGTTGACTTTGAGGGCTGTATAATTGTTATGGAATTAGAACTTGTGCTCCCCATTGTCATAATAAATCTCTCCCCCATAAATTTATAGGTACAGAAATTGCAATTGGTTGAACAGTCCCAGGTTGTCCATCGGGCCCTTCACAATGCAAAATATATCTACTTTGATACACTTCTGGAGCTTTAGCAGTTTCCACTGTGTTAAATTGAGTGGGCTGAATTGGCCACATGGACAGCCAGTGCTGTAGAGAAATGATTGAAATGTCCACTCCTACCAAAAAAAAAAAATAGTATCTACCAAACCTTTAAAGTTCTTTCCCTGGATAGTTATTTCACAGATAGGATGTTTATCAGTAATTTGATTTACCCAATAAGCTGCCTTGCCTTTTTTATTTGTGCTTCCAAATCCTCCAGTTCATTTAATTTCACTTTTTCCCATTCCCACATATGGCACACTCAGGAGCTGTGCTATGCACACTCCTGGCTGTGCTTTCCAGGGAACAGAAGTAGATATCACAATTTGAATTTCTTCATTGTAATCTGAATCAATGACTCCAGTGTGTATTTGTACCCCTTTTAAACTTAAACTAGACCTTCCTAAAAGTAATCCCATTGTCCCTCCTGGCAACGGTCCACAGACTCCTGTTGGGACCTTTTGCGGGGGTTCCCCAGGCAGAAGGCTCACAGCTTTTGTGCAGCATAAATCTACTGCGGCACTATGGGCTATGGTGGGGGACAGATAATGTATGGGGGTGAGGGAATGGCCTGAGCTGGAAATGCCCTGTTTTAGAACAGGGCCTGGGATGGGCCCTTCAGGGAGTTTCCCAAAATCGGGTTCCCTTCTTTATCAAACTTAGAGTGACACTGATTAGCCCAAAGTTTTCCTTTTTTACATTTTAGACATATTTCAGGATGAGCAGTTTTCTTTTTTCACCTATCTGGTGGCCTGACTTGCTGATTTTTTTTTTTTAATTCTTTTTAGTATGACCATGCTTCCCACAGTTAAAACAAGCTCCAGGAAATAGAGTATTTCCTTTATCCACTCTCAGTCCTGCCGTCGCCTGTGCCAACAAAGTAGCTTTATGTAGATTATCTCTGATATCATCACAGGCCTTGTTATAATCAACTAAATGTGCTTTCCCTCTGATAGGTCGCAGAGCAGCCTGGCAATAGGGATTAACATTGTCAAAACTAATAACTGCAACACTATATCCTAAGCAACCAAATCTGCAATCATCTTTTTAAGAGACTCCTGTAACCAAGCTATAAAATGCACATATGGTTCTCTTGGTCCCTGTTTTATAGCACTAAATGAAGGGTATTGTTCTCCATATGAAGTGATTTTTTCCAAGCTCTAATGCACACTCCTCTAAGCTGTTCTATGGCATCATCCTGCTTGACCACTTGTGCATGTAAACCAGCCCAGCCACCAACCCCCAAAAGTTGGTCTGCAGTTATATTAATTTGAGGTTGGGCCCAGGCATTGTGAGCAGCCTGAATGGAAGCTTCATCTGCCCACTAAGTTTTAAATTGTAAGAACTGAGCAGGAGTTAGACAAGCTAGAGTAAGAGTGTCCCAGTCAGTAGGAATCATCCGACTGGAAACAGCAACATTCTTTAACAGTCCCATTTCAAAAGGAGAACCTGGTCCATACTGATTTATAGCTTGTTTAATTTTTTTGAGTAATTTAAAAGGAAAAGGCTCAAATGTAGCTATAATATTTCCCTGTTGATCTGGGGGGTGTATTCAAACAGGGAACTGCCAAGCCTCTAAATCCCACTTTTGTCTAGCTTGCTGAATTCCTGCCTGAATAGAACTAAGAGCAGTCGCTCAAGGCGGTGCTCGAACAGTCACCAGGGCAACTACTTTTCACCCAGTGTCCTCCAGAAAAGAAAGATCTGGAGGGTCATTTTCTTCAAAATAATAATGAGGGGGTGCAGAAGGATAGGGATGAACCTCTCCCTCCTTTTCTGCTTTAGCTTTAGGTGACAAATAAACCTGGTCTGTAACCTCTACTGTTACTTTGTTATACTCTCCTTCCTCCTCATCATCAGTGTGAAAAAGTTCCAAGGTAGAACGAACCACAGCCCACACTTGTCCCATTGTTACCCTGATGCTTCCGAGCTCCCCTTCTGACTCACCATGGGGATTGCTTTAAGAGTACTCGGATGTCCTCCAGCTAGTTCCACATTCTCCAATCGTTGCTCCAGTGATCCTTTGACCTGTATTCGAGCCCCCATGAATGGACACCACTTGCTGAGACCAGGTCGGTTGGGGAGACCCTAACCCAGCAGCACTGGAGGAATTAAAGACACACACACTGAAATATAGAGGTGTGAAGTGGGAAATCAGGGGTCTCACAGCCTTCGGAGCTCAGAGCCCTGAACAGAGATTTACCCACGTATTTATTAACAACAAGCCAGTCATTAGCATTGTTTCTATAGATATCAGATTAACTAAAAGTATCCCTTATTCTTAAGGCACAGATCACTCATGCTATTGTTTGTGGCTTAAGAATGTCTTTAAGTGGTTTTCCACCCTGGACGGGCCAGGTATTCCTTGTCCTCATTCCAGTAAACCCACAAACTTCCAGCGTGGGTGTTATGGCCATCATGAACATGTCACAGTGCTGCAGAGATTTTGTTTATGGCCAGTTTTGGGGCCAGTTTATGGCCGGATTTGGGGGGCTTGTTCCCAACAGTTCCTCAGGGTAAGGGTGCCCTAACTCCTGTGGGGACCTTCTTTCGTAGCTCCCCAGGAAGTAAGGAGATGGGAATTGTGCTGTAGAGGTCTACAGCAGCACTGCTTGCTGAGGCGGGGGACAATTGCTGTACATTTGTAAGAGCAGTGGCTGTGCTGGGTATGCCTCAGTTTGTTGAGGGGCTTGAGGCGGGTCCCTCTTCCTATTTCCTCAAAGAGGTTGTTCATCTTTGCTAAATTTAGAATGACACGGACTTGCCTAGTGATTGCCTTTCTTACACCAGGGACATACACTGGGTCTTTTCTGTTGATTGATGGTAGTAGTTTTCGTGTTTTGAATTCCTTTCTACATTCCTTTCTTGTGTCCAATTTGCCCACAATTAAGGCAAGAGCCTGAGAAGTGAAACATATTTTTTCTTACTCTTAATCTAGCCATAGCCTGAGCTAAAAGAATAGCCTTATGTAAGTTACCTCCAATGCCATCGCAAGACTTAATATATTTAGTTAAATGAGCCTTCTCTCTCAGATATCTAATAGCAGTTTGACACTCTGCATTAGCATTATTGTATGCAAGAAGCTGTATTACAACATCCTGAGCTGTTTTGATCATTTACGGCTTTATACACAACCTCTTGGAGCTGAGCAATAAAATTAATATATGGTTCTTTAGGTCCTTGTCAGACAGAACTGAAATAAGGATACTTTTCCCCTGTAACATTTATCCTTTTCTATTCATGTAAGCACATGAAGCACAGCTGAACAATGGCAACATCTTCCATTACTGCTTGATTCTCTAATCAACCCCAGTTAGGGCCAACTCATATTAACTGATCAAAGAAAACAGGCACAGGTGGCTGCAGGTGTGTGTTTTCTTTTGCCTGAGTTTGAGTTCATCAGCCTACCAAGTTTTAAACTGCAAGTACTGAGATGGAGTGAGAACAGGTTTTGTCAAAGTATCCTAATTATATGGTATTAATCTATTATCAAGAGCCATATTTTTAATAAAGATTGCGCAAAAAGAGAGTTCAGTCCATATTGACTAATGGCTTGCTTAAATTCTTTAGTAACTTAAAAGAAAAAGCAGGCTAATTAGCTATATTCTGTCCTACTTGCTGGATTATAGTAACGGGAAATTGCCATGCTTCAAGGTCTCCCTTGGCTTTAGCTTTTTGAATAGAATTTTGTCTAGCACCACCAATTGCTCCAGGTTTTAATGTTGTAACTACAGGAGCAGTAAGTTTTTCAGCTAATTTATTTTCTCACCCATTTAGGGGAGAGAGAGGAGGTGGCCATTCACTTAATTCAGCAGGTGGAGCCAACGGGCTAGTAAAACATACTTTTTAAAGTTTTTCTTTCTTTTATTTAATCTCCTCCGGTAGCTGCTCCTCACACTCAGAATTTGAGGTTAGTTTTTTACACTCATCCTCCTCTTCCTCATCTGAATCTGCCTCATCATCTGTTTGAAATGGCTCAAGGGCTGCCTTTATTAGTGCCCACACTGACCATATATAAACTGGAATTTCTGCTCCATCTTTATATGCCTTTTAAAAATCTCTTCCAATTCTCTCCCATTCATCCAACTTCATAGTCCTTTGCTCTGGAAACCATGGGCAAAACTGCTTTACTGTACTAAAGAGTGATAACAAATTCTAAGTACTAAATTTCACTCCCCATCTTTGTATGTCCTCGCGTGTCTTTTGATGATGTGTCCTCTGCTTTCATATGCTCTAGCCTTCCTTCACCGGGTCTTTGTCACCCCATGTTGGGCGCCAGGAATGTTGGGGTGATCAGACCCAACACTAGGTCATGGGGGTGATGAAGTCCGGCAGAGTCAAAGGAATGAGAAAAAGACAGTTTGAGAGAGAAAGTGGGACCAGGAGACCATCACGAGTGTGGAGTCTGCAAAGTCCCCAAGCTCTGGGAGCCCACGCTATTTGTTGGTGCTCAAACAAAGAAACAGGTGGTGAGGATGTGGGGGTTAAAAGGAAATGGTGTATCAAGTGAATGAGAAACATATGGCCCTGCCTCAGCTTCTCTTCCAACACTCAGCTTTTCTCCCAACACATTCCCCTTATGAACAGGAATAAAATAGGGATGGCTGTTCTCCCCACTCCTGTTTAACAAGTCCTAGCCAGAGCAAGCAGGCAAGAGAAAGCGATAAAAAACATCCAAATAGGAAATGAAGTCAAATTATCTCTCTTCACTGATCATATGATTCTACACCTAGAAATCCCTAAAGACTGTGCCAAAAGGCTCCCAGAACTGATAAAAAAACTTCAGCAAACTTTCAGGATAAAAAAAAATCAACATATAAAAAGAAGTAGCATTGCTGTTCACCAAAAATATTTAAACTGAAAGGTAAATCAAGAGTGCAATCCTGTTTACAACAGCAACCCCCAAAATAAAATAAAATATAAGAAGAATATGTCTAACCAAGGAGGTAAAGGATATCTAAAAGGAGAACTGCAAAACGCTGCAGAAAGAAATCACAGATGTCGAAACAAATGGAAAACCATTCCATGCTCATGGATTAGAAAGATCAATATTGTTAAAATGGCTATACTGCCAAAAGCAATCTACACATTCAACACTATTCCTATGAAACAACCAGTGTCGTTTTTCACAAAATTAGAAAAAATATTCTAAATTTCATATGGATTTTTAAAGAGCCCAGACAACCAAAGGAAATCTAAGCAAGAAGAACAACGCTGGAGACATCACATTACTTGACTTCATACTATACCCTAAGGCCACAGTAGACAAAATAACATGGTACTGATATGAAAACAGACACAAAGACCAATGAAACAGAATAGAGAACCCCAAAATAAACACATGCACCTACAGCCATCAGCTTTCCCAGGATAACACAAAGAGAGCCAAGTGGCACCTGCACATTACACTGTGGAAGAAAAACCCAAGCTCAAGAAACCCCAACTTGTGTTATTGGAAGTTCACTTGGCTGTATGCTTCCCAAGAGGGAGAAATTATCTGCATTATACTAGACAGTAAATAAACTTTTCCTTTGTTCCAGAAGGAGGTACTGGTTTTCTATTCCAAGGCTGTTTTCTATACAAACATGCTTGAAAACAATCATTTGGAACAATAAAGTCAGCGTCCATACTTGCAAAATGTGCGGAAATTAAAGACCCAAAAATTGTTTCTCTACCAATTTCTATTTTTTAAAAATCACATTTTCCGCATATAATATGCTTTTAATATGTGATCATATTCTGAAATTGTCTTAGCATTTACCCCCATTTCTGAGTCCAGAAGGATAAAATAGATTTAATTTAATTTAGTAACACTTCAAATAGTAGTGATTGTAATAGCAGAGCTAGTTTGTAGCATAAACAAAAAATAATAATATTATTAGGTGACACTTACAAAAAATGCTAGTCACCATTTCTAAGTGTCATGGTAAGTACAGTGATTATTTTCTTTCTTTCTGACTCTTTTTTATTTTTTTTTCCATAGGTTATTGGGGTACGGTGGTATTTGGTTCCATGGGTAAGTTCTTTACTGGAGATTTGTGAGATTTGGGTGCACCCATCACCCGAGCAGTGTACACTGCACCCTATTTGTAATCTTTTATCCCTTGCCCCCTCCCTATTAAATAATAGACCAAAAATAATGGGTTTAGAATAAATGAGTTCAAATGAATTGTCAAACGTATGTGGGAAAAGTGGAATCAGTTTTTGAGAAAAAGCAAAAAAGTCAACAGAAATGCTGCTAAAGCATCATCCCTTCATGGCTAGAGCTGCCAGGACCCCAGAACACCAAAATCAGCTAGGGAAATTTTGTAGAAGTCCCAGATGTACTGGATGTTCTGTGAATACACAGAGACATAATTATAACTGTTACCTGCATGTAGAGTAAAGATGAGAAGGCATTGGTCATAGTGGCAGCTACCTCAGGAGTTACAAAGCAGACGTGGTTCCAGGACAGTATATGTCAGGGCAAAGCTGTCCTCGGAGGCTATTAGGAGCTGGTTATGGCACAGACATTGTAAGTCAGATGGTCTCATTACTTTCAATGACAAAACCAAAATTACTTTTGCATCAGCCAATACAACGGCCTGGCAAGAGCACAGAAAAAGTCCATGTGGCTGTTAGGTGGGGACCTCTGATGCAGCACAATTCCTTCATTCCCTTCTCCAAAACCCCCTCTTCCAATTCCACTGAAGAGAGAATCTGATGGAAGTCCTGTGTAAGCAGGCTCAGATATATCTACCACTATAGATAGTAGAGGTGATTCACAAATGCAAGCCTATCAAATACATCATAAATAAGTTACACGTTTAATTTTTTTTGAAATTAGGGATCATTATATGAATCAAAACTGTCACTAATGTTTAAAAAGAAAAGAAAAAAACTGAACAAATAGATTCAGAAAAGGCCTTGAAGAGAGGGTTCTCATGCTTCTAGGCCTGATAACAACTATCACAAAATACCACAAAAACCACAACCTTGCACAAAGGCCATAGCAACCTTACACAAAATACACTTCTGTGAGGACATCTATCCAGCAACCGCCTGCCCAAACTTCAACTGACATCGACCTTGTTGTTGATCTTTATAGTCAAAGGTAACTATATCAAAACAATTATAGAAGCCTCTTCATTTTTCCTTTATTTATTTTTTTCTACTCCCCCATACTTCCAGGTATCCAGGTTGATCATTTTTCTTTTAAAGACCTTGTCTTCCTTTACCATTTGAATCTATATAGTTTGCTTTGTCATGCATATTCCCATTGCAGTGCCCTCCTCCCTAAGATGTGTCTTTTTCCTTTAGAGAGCCTTTCTCTGTTTGTTATTTAGGTTTACAATGAGAAGGCGTGTAAAGTATTTTTACTGTCTTCCTAGGAAAAAATCACTGACTTACAGTATTTATATTTATTTATTTACATTCCTGGGGATGAGGAATTAAAGATTTCATATATTTTCTTATTGAGAAGATCCAAGTTTTCATGTGAGCAAAACTGAATATGTAAATTGATATGTAAATTATGCTGCAGATAATATGGTCAAATGTTTACTTGTATTTAATTTGTTACACATGAATATTGCATATGTAAGATAATATACTAAGAAATTATCACATTTAATGAAATGTTTTAATCAAATTCCTGATTGAATTTTTGATATCAATATCTTTTTCATTGTTTAATCCATCTTTAGGTTGAACAGGGCTTTATAGGCCAAAGTTCTCACTTCTATCTAAATTGAGTTACAGAACTTTTTGAATTTATTATGTTGTCACAGGAAGTTTCTTATTGCTGTTTAAAGGAGTCTCTCTCAATATGATGCAGAATGCAAAAGCACTGAAGGGCATATATCCTGAGTTTCTGTTACTGAAGCCAAAGGTTGCCAATTTCTTGTAGATCCTGCTAGAGGTAAACTGCATTTAAGTAATTATTAAAAGCTGTATTTATTCCCTCACTTGAAATTTTGATTTCACACTATTAGGACTAATCCTCTAAGTCTTTGTTAAGTTATGTTCCTCTTTTTCTTGTAGCTTGACTTTGATGATCTCTATATGCAACATCAATTGACATAAATTAAAGTACATTCAGGGCAAGAGAGTTTCTTTAAATATTACTTTGTTATTCAAAATAATCACAAAAGCACTCATCGTAGGAAAACTTGTGAGGACTCAAATATAGGGAAATACTTTTTCTTTCTAAGGCATAATTCTGTAAAGAAATTCACCTTAATTTGAATATACATGGGAAAATATCCTTGTTCAATAATAGTCTATATTCACTCTGTTTTCTTCCCTCATAGACCAGCCGGTTCACTATTATTCTCCAAATGATGTGTGCCTCTCTAGAGTCCAGGCTATCTACATATCTAATTTTCCCACAAATTACTGTTTTGAATTGCACTGAATTCAATTTAAGGGGATGTCATTTATAAAAAGTGCAAATATATACTGCACGAGGGATCTTAAAAATCATACACATGGTTTGATCCATAAGCTCATATGAGCGTGCAATGTCAACTTTTTTCATGTTTTTTTAAGTCCACTTAAATTCTATTTTAAGCCACCATCTGCCTGTGCTGTTAGGGCAGTTAGCCTTAAATCATTTTAAGATGCTCCCTTCTAAGTACTGTGATAGTGATAGAGATGTCACCAGTCAAGTGTCCTAGGAAGCCGACTCTGAGTTGGAGATTTGCATGCAAGGAGGTTGAAATGATATTCCCAACACCCGTGGAAGAGTGAAAGCAATAGGATTGGGTGGAGCAGGAAGTCGGCTGGAATGCAATCACTATCATGGCCGCAGTCCACTCTACAGGGATCTTGGTGAGTTTACCTAATGACCTCGAATTGGAGCAAGCAAACAAGGCCATTATATTTCTGTACCAAGCAGTTCTCGGATGTGGGATGCCTTGAGAAGGGACATGGACTTGGATGAAGGAACTTTACTGTGCTGTGAGTATTGTTGACAGGAGTCAGCTGTCAACACTCCCAGGAGAAGGGGAATTATGCTTTAGTCACGGAGGCGGCATCTAGTGTCAGACCACAGCCTTGTTAAACAGAGCCAGAATTTGGAGGATGGATGGTGGGTTTAACATTCGGGGCTTGACGTCTTGCCCCCACAAGCTGCTGCTGGCCTCTTCCTTGTCCATTTCTGTGTGGCTTGTTTAGGCCCCCCAGCTTCCTGCTTCTTCTTTACCATATTTGGAATGCAAAAATCTACACGTAATTTGGCCCATGGTCCCTTCTGCTTAGACATATCCTTGTAGCTATTTTTTTTTAAAGATGACTATGCCTTCTACAATATTTCTAAGAAACTGCCGAAGTCACGACTGCTCACCAAGAGGCCTTCGTTTTTTCCTCTTCTTAAACATGGGAAAGGAATGTAGGAGTGTAGGGAGTGGATATTTTCTAACCTGGAAAAAACTCATTTTACCCTATATAATTTTTTTTAGCAAATTCCTTCTTTGCACTTACTCCACAATCTTTCCAAATTCTCCCAAATGCTCAAGCTTTTAAAAAACAAAAGACAGAAAGGACAGCAAGTTATTAGTTTTTCCACCAAACCTTTTCTTTCTATTCGTTTACATCAGTGAGCTTAGAATAACTCTGCTTCTGGAACTGGGAAAGGGACTTGGGAAAAGAAAGAAAAAAAAAGCTCTCAAAGTTTAACATCACAAAACATTATAGTCATTGCTATTTTATTATTTATTTATTTATTTATTTATTTATTTATTTATTTATTTTTGAGATGGAGTCTTGTTCTGCCACCAGGCTGGAGTGCAGTGGTGCGATCTCAGCTCACTGCAACCTCCGCATCCTGGGTTCAAACGATTCTCCTGCCTCAGCCTGCTGAGTAGCTTGGACTACAGACGTGTGCCACCACACCCAGATAATTTTTGTATTTTTAGTAGAGATGGGGTTTCACCGTGTTAGCCAGGATGATCTCGATCTCCTGACCTTGAGATCCGCCCACCTTGGCCTCCCAAAGTGCTGGGATTACAGGCATGAGCCACCGTGCATGGCCTTGCTTTGTAATTTTTACATCATATATCCCGTGTTAGACCAAGAGCTTGTAAAAGCCAGAAGACATATACCATTTATAGTTCAATTAGAGATGTTCACTGATAAAACTGATTCTTCCATCTGAGGGTGGTATTTGTAGTTACAGTAATGTAGATGACAATCTAAGTTATGTTCTATAAACTGTGTCACTGACATCTCAATCTACAGCTAACTTTAATTTTTTAAAAGCAGAGGAGTGGGTTGTATAGGTTTAGAAATATATCCATTAAGCTAGTTAAGTGAGATAGATTCAAACCTTCAACTCACTGGAATATTTACCAAATTGTCTATTCATTAGCTAAAGGAACCAAATAAACAAGGTACTTTTCAAAATTCAAAATTATGTAAGGTTTTATTTCCTTTTTATGCTGTTATGAATTGGATTGTAGAGGTTATAAGGTAAAATAAGATTACTTTTACAGTAAAACATACAACACATTGTCACAAGAGGGCAGCCTTTGAACATGAATTTATTCTCAGGCATTCCTTGAAATTTTGAGACAGTTACTTTAATTAACACAACTAAATAATAAAACACTACAGAGGATTTAAGAAGATACTTTGACTTATGCATATTGTTACTTTTTTATTACTGCTAGTGGAAGATGTAATCGATAAGGAAGGTAAGGGCTGAATTTGTTTTATCTAAAAAGACAAATTTCTTTGGGTTTGAGCTTTCAAATATCAACATAGCAGGTCAATGTCTAAATGAGTGTATCAAAGTTCTCACACTAGCACATGTAAATCCACCTCTTATCTACCCAAAACTCTAACCAAGCAAAGGCAAGTTGGAAGAATGTAAGTGCCTAGGATACATAAATGCCACTGGATTTTATGTTTTTAACTTTCAACCTCCCAAGTTTCAGTAAGAGACATGTTATTTGGAGAAGTTGCTAAAGTGTAGTTGTATGATGTCTCTGTGTACGGTTAGTCTGGACCTCTTTCTGTCCAGTGGTTGCCCTCAACTGATTGGAGTCACCTCTCTAAAGATCATGCTTATGTCCCTGGAGCAGTTCACAGCACTATCAATGTCTGATCTCCACCTTTTTCCAATTAATATTTCTGTACTTACTGAATTGGAAAACATACAGGTGATTTTTTCCTGGTCACTTGTGGTTTTACAACACTCCCGCCACTTCCCCACAACTGCCCCAGGTTATTTTGATGCCAGCCAAAGTGTGAGAACTACTGGCAGCTGCTGGCAGACAGCAGCAAAGGCCCAAATCCTCGGTGTGATTTCAAGACCCATATCTGGTTTTCAGCCATATTTCCTTCTCCTTCTCACAGCAGAGCCCACTCCTCCTCCCTCACCACCTGTAGGCTATGCTTTCCAGCTTGTGTCCAGGATTAGTCCTTACGTAAGGCACATGGGGTTTAAGGATCTCTCTCTTCAGTCTTATTTCTGCACCATCTCTGACAGATATATTCCAGTTGTGATCATGGGGCTACCTCCTTTTCTTTCCAGTCCCATGCTCGTTTTCTCTATCACATTCTACCTTGTAATAACCTAAATCTTCTGGTGGGCAAGCTTCTTCCTCAATCAAATTTGTGTTTATGATTGTGTTGGGGATTGGCTTAGTAATCCAGGTA
Source organism: Homo sapiens (assembly GCF_000001405.40). Taxonomy (NCBI): domain Eukaryota; kingdom Metazoa; phylum Chordata; class Mammalia; order Primates; family Hominidae; genus Homo; species Homo sapiens. The sequence goes on along the minus strand of NT_187377.1, from coordinate 33,959 downwards.
CTGCTACTGCCTTGAAAGCGGAGACTGCATCCTTCTGTCTGGATTTCTTGGGTTTCTGGATTGTAAACCTTATTAGGGCCCATTTTTCCTAGAATTGGAGCCTCTACTTTGTTCTTGCTACCTTAGTTCACCCAGAAAGCATGATCTCTGCCTGAATTTCAAAGTGTTGGCTAGTTTAAATATCCTTTTGTGAGACTTTTGTCTTCCTGCGGGGTGATTTTTTCATCTTGCATACCATTGCTAATCTTTTTATCTTGAATGTAATTGAAATAGTTTTAATCTGTGTTACCAGCAACAAGAACCCCTTTTATGAGATGGAGAGGCCAGGTCAGTCTCATAACATGTGTCCCCCTCCGTGTGTTGAATTTATGTCAGAGCCAGGTTCTTTCCTATGTGATGTCTCTCACCAAATTCCAGTGTTTATGTCCTAGGAGGTGCCCAATAAATTCTAGAGTTGATACAAGCTGTAATTTTAGAGAAATTAAATTAGCAATTAGAATTAGATTACGTACAATCTAATCACCTTTTCTTTTTCTTTCTGAGGATGACCAAGATTTGGGCTTCAGTGACAATAGCTGTCCCCTAAATATTTATACTCAGAATCTAGGATTACCAGTACAATGTTGAATAGAGGTGATGAACACACACATTCCTTTCTTGTCCTAATCTATGTAGTTTAAACATTTACGCTTTCACCATTAAATGTAATATTGTTTATATGTTGTGTTGTGGATGCTTTCCATCGCTTTGAGAAAATTTCTTTTTCTAGCTTGCTGAGAGGTTCTTTTTAAAATCAGCAATAGATATTTCTCCAAAGAAAATATCCAAATGACCAACAGATACATGAAAAAAATGCTCAGCATCACTAATCATCAGGGAAATGCAAATCAAAACCACAAAGAGATATTGCCTCAAACCTGTTAGAATGGTCTTATTAAAAGAAAAAGATAACGAGTGATAACAATGGGGAGAAATTGGAACACTTATACAGTGTTTCTGGAAAAGTAAAACTGTGCAGCCTCTATGGAAAACAGTACGGTGGTTCCTCAAAAAAATTAAGAAACTAGAACTACCATATGATCTAGCAATCCACTTCAGGTTATTTATCTGAAAGAATTGAGATTGGGATGATTCTCAGGCTCATTGCAGCATTATTTACACTAATCAAAATGTGGAAATGAGGTTAATGTCTATTGGCAGATGAATAGATAAAGAAAATGTGGTATATTCATACAACGGAATATTATTCAGCTTTAAAACAAGAAAGCCCGGCAATATGCAACATGGATGAACGTAGAGGACATTAATGCTAAGTAAAGTAAATCAGTCACAGAAGGACAAACTGTATGATTCCACTTGTATAAGGTATCTAAGATAGCCAAATTCATTAGAATCACATATTAGAATGGTGATAGCTCTTTAAGTTGAAATCAATGTTGCATTCCTGGGTTTTGTAGTTTTGCTATCAGGATTCTGACTCATAAAACAAGTTTGGAATTTCCCCCTTCTTTATTTCTGAAATAATTTAAAAATTTTATTTTTTTTAAACGTTTGAAAGAATTCATCAGCAAAACTCTTTGGATCTGGAGTTTGCTTATTTTTTATTTCTTTAGCTTTATGTTTTTATGTGCAGGTATTTGAGAATTAATTTAATTACTTTAATAAATGTCAATTACTTCATATGTTCCATTTAATCTTGCGAATTTTTTTATAACTTTTTTTCAAGGAATTCACCCTTTCATCCAAGTAATGAAAATTAGTATAAAATGTTTCACAATATTCCATTATCTTGTTAATGTCTCTTGTGTCTACAACTGTACAATCTCATTAATCCCTGATATTTATAATTTGCGTTTTCTTTCTTTCTCACAGAACTAACTTTTGGCCATGATGATTTTCTCCTGTTTCTGTTTTCTGTCTCATTGATTTCTAATTTCTGTTTTATTTCTTTTCTTCTACTTGTTTTGGACTTAATTTGCTCTCTTGTTTTAGATTTTCTTTTTAAGGTAGAAAATTAGTTCACTTGTTTTGAACTTCTCTTTTTTAGAATAAGCATTTATACAAAAAATTTACTCTGGGTCTGCTTAACTTTATCCCATACATTTTGATATAGTATATTTTTATTTGTATTCAGTTCAATGTATTTAAAGGTGTTTCTTATGATTTCTTCCTTGAGCTAAAGGGCATTTTAAGATGTATTTAAATCTTCCAATAGTGTAGGCTTTCCTGGGTAGCTTGTTTTTACCCATTTCAACTCATTTTCATTATAGTCAGAAAGCATACTTTCTATGATTACAGTGTTTTGGAACTTCTTGAGAGATATTTTGTGGTCTATAGCCTATTGATAAATGTTTCATGTGTAGCATAATAGAACATATATTCTATTGTCTTGGTCAATATCGATTAGGTCAAGCTGCTGTCAAAATTATTTTATCTTAATTTTCTTTAGTTATTCTGTCAACAATACAGCATTATGTCTTCATAATTACTTGACATTTTATCATTATGAAATAGCTGTCTGTTGTAATATTGCTTGTTTGGAGGTCTACTTTTTCTTATATTAATATAGCCACATAAGATTTCTTGTGCTTGTTGTTTCCTTGGTATACTTGGAAATTATTTTACTCTCAAATTATCTATACCATAATATTTGGCATGCATCTCTTATAGGTACTTTTATTATCCAGTTGGACAATCTGTGTTTTATTTGGAGTATTTAAATTACATTTGAAATAATTATTGAAAAGTTTGGATTTAAGCCTACTATTTTTGCTTTTCTTTTTTTTTTTTTTTTTTTTTTTTGAGACGGAGTCTGGTCCTGTCACCCAGGCTGGAGTGCAGTGGCGGGATCTCGGCTCACTGCAAGTTCCACCTCCCGGGTTCACGCCATTTTCCTGCCTCAGCATCTGGAGTAGCTGGTACTACAGGCTCCCGCCGCCACCCCCGGCTAATTTTTGTATTTTTAGTAAAGACGGGGTTTCACCGTGTTAGCCAGGATAGTCTCGATCTCCTGACCTCGTGATCCACCCACCTCGGCCTCCCAAAGTGCTGGGATTACAGGCTGAGCCACGGTACCGAGCCTATTTTGCTCTTATGTTCTATTTGTTCCATCATTTTTTGCTCCTCTGTTCTTTCTTTCATGCCTTTTTATATTAACTGAACATTATTCAGGGTTCCATTTTAATTCCTTTATTGGCATTTTAGAAGAATATCTTCATATAATGTGGTGGTTCTCTAGGGATTATAATAAACATCCTGGGCTTATCGCAGTCCACTTAGTGTTAATAGTCAGCATTTTCATGTAACATAAAGAAAAGTTGCAGCAAAATTGTTGCGTTTAGTCTCCTGTCAGAGCTATTAATTTAGAATATTTTACATACATTATCAATAGTACACTTAATTTTTTATTGAAACCATCAGTTGTTTGTTATAAAACTAAAAGAGAAAAGCCTTAGTTTTTCATGTTTATGCACATGCCATTCCTAGAGCTTCTCCTTGCTTCCTGTAGGTCAGAATTTCCATCTGTTGTTATCTTTCTTTAGCCTAAAAAATTCCCGTTTGCATTTCTTGTATCTAGGTCTGCTAATGACAACTGTTCGAAGCTTTCTTTTATCTGACTAAATCTTTCTTTTCTCTAGAATTACTGTTTCTAGTGATAGAATTTTGAGTTGACAGTTTTCTTTTATTTTGAAGATGTAGTTTCATTGCTTTTTAAAGTGTCATTTCTGATGACAGGTCATCTGTCTATTTGTTTCCACGTATGTAAATTATTTTCTCCCTCCCTTTAGCTACTTTCAAGATTTACTCTTTTTTTGCCCAGTGGCTTGACTATGGTATGTCTACATTTGGTTCTCTTTATTTTTATTCTGTTCTTTGAGTTTCTTAAACCTGTAAATTGATATATGCTGACAATTAGGAAAACTTTTGGTCTTTACTTTTTCAAATAGCTTTTTCTGTCTCATTTTCTTCTCTACTCGTTCTAGGACTCCAATTATATTAGTGCTAGACTGGCCCTATTTTTATTATTTTTCTTTCTTTTTATTAACTGTATTGGGAAATTGTTCTTGATCTGTTTTTAAGTGCACTGATAGTTTTTTCTGCCATCTTTAATTTACTGGTATGTGCATACAATGACATTTTTATATAAGATATTCTGTTTCTCAGTTCTAAAATTTGTCCTATTATCTCTTTATCGTTTTTACTTCTCTGTTGAGATTCTCCATGTATTCCCTCTTATGACCATCTATTCCTTAAATCCTTGAATATGCTTGTAATAGCTTATTTTAAATTTCTTATCTTCTAATCCCAGCATGTGGGCCATTTCACTGTCTTAATCCATTGTTTACTTTTTTTGTTATGCGTCATATTTTCCTGGTTTTATGTCTAGGCAGGTTAAATTATATGTTAGATTATGTGTATGATATTTTGTAGAGATAGGTTCTTCTATTTTCCTTTGAAGAGTGACTCTTTTCTAACATTAGTCTTTTTTCTGTAGTCAAACACCAAACTTTCACTCCTGAGCTATATGCAATGGTTGAAATCTCTGCTCTGTACTAGCAATTTAGCTGTTGTTTTCTGCTGGATTCTATGGAGTCTCTTTTTATCAATGTGAAATGTAGCAGCCATCATATATCTGAATGAAGTTTAAGTGCTGATTTTAGATTTTTACTCTGTGACATTCTCCTCTGTGACTTTCAGTTGTGTGAGATTTCCTCCCATGTCATTCAAATTTCCCAGTTCTTCTTTTTTGTCAGCCTGGAACTCTGTGCTCTTTTTCCTCAAGCTAGTAAAACTCACCGCTTTACTCGTAGACATCTAATTTTGCACAGACTGGGAAGCGTCATCAGGTGTGAAGTTGCATTGATGCAAATTTAAATCATTGCAATTTTCTTTATTCAATGGTCAAATACTTCATCAGTGGTTGAATATTCTACTATTTCTGCCTGTTTTCTGTTTCTCATTGGCATCAAATGTGTATTTAATTTTTTTTAGAGTTAACAGTTTTTTTCCCTGCATTTGACTTAGACCTGAGCTACTATCGCATTTTGTAATTCAAACTTTTTTTCTAACAATGTTTTAAAAAACTCTTTATTTGGAGGGAATTCTCAAATTTCTAAATACTCTACAAACATTAGGATCAGGGCTCACATTCCCAGTTTCCCTTGTAGCCAGATGTACATATGGAAAATGACCTCAGTTAATGAAGCATACCCACATATTTGAAACTCAGAAAAGTGTTAAGAGGAACTGTAGATATCATGTTAGTTGATGCAAGGATGGAAAAAAATAACCAACTTTCACTGGTGAACTTTGTCTTCAATCATTGTTTTCCCGTGGGTAAGTGGCTAATTTTCTGGCCTAGAGGTGCAATTGGTGTGTTGGTAACAATTGATTTGATGATAACCTGCATTTGTCTTTTTAAAAATTGCTAATCCACCATTGTTTCTGGTCCTGTTTTATACTTATGCAGTGTATAATCTCTCATGCAAAATTTAGTTCTTTGTTTCTCAGCTTAAACTGGATTTTGATGAGCAGTTTTCACCTTCAAATGAAAGAAATGGCTTTGGTTGATGTTAAACAAAAATAACAAGAGGGAATTAAAGAAATATGTTTGTCATCTTGTAATATTAAATAAATGAAACTGAAAATTCAACAATTCTGCTTCATAAAAAAAGAAAGTTTCTACTGTTTTTCATTATTTTTGAAGCTATATGATTAAATGAAATTTCCGCCTCATGGAAGGTTTTTAGAACTATGTAATAATACCATAGAGACCATTAGGAGAGAAATGAATAAAGACTGAAAGAAGTAAGCACTGTGTGGTAAAGTAGATGGCACATAGTTGTGTGCGTGGAGCCCTAATACATTTTACCATGGAATTTATACAATAAATGTTAGTTTCCTGTGAACCTGCTAATTAATATGACTTTCTCAGACATTTCCTTAACCTAAACAGTTTAGGTTTCCTGTAGATAGACTGCATGTAATCTCATCTTTAACCTTTCCATAATCTTCCCTAATTACAGATGTCATTGGTTCTTAATAGCAAAAGAACAGCAGTAGCTTATAAAGTTATATTATTTGTTTTTTACTAATATGTGAAGTGATTTTGTCTTTCATTTCACCTCTAAAGCTAATTATGTCTTCTAAGTTAACAAAAATTCCAGATCATACCATCATTAGTTTAAACTTTACAATGAATTCATTCTTTCCATTTATTACTAGCCTGCATTATAGCAATATTTAGCTAATGAATTCTCAAAATATTTCTTGAAAGGTGAAAGAGTACCTCAAGTAAATGGTGTAATTAATTTATTTATCAGATTTTTAAATTAAGTGTTCTGTTTAATCTCAAAGGGGTACCAATGAAGTTAGGGCATAAGGAGTCCATGGTTAATAAAATGGCAAGAATTAAAAAAGATTATTACATTTTTTCCTCATACTATGATGGCTATAATTTTTTAAAACAGTAGAAATGTTTAATTTTTAAAGGCTACTAGTGTCTATTTCATTCAAAGATGTGAGGTCATCAGTTCAACTTGTTGTTTGAAATTTGAATAGCTTTTTCTTGCTCTTGTTCAATACAGTTATTAAACAGTCCAGGCAGGCCTCTGGAGTTACATATATGTATGTGGCTATGTGTGTATATATACATAGAAGTATAAATAGCATACAATCAATTTACCTAATACTTTTGCTTTTGATGAAAATTCTTCTAAAAGTGAATGTAAATTAATAGCATATGGAGCCTACAAAAATTGTCTAATAGGGAAGTAGGAAAATATAATTTGTGAAGAAAAAGTTGGCTAAAACAGACTTTTTATTTTTACATGTAATAACTTTATATTGAAGGGTTTCCAGAAATATAAAATGTTATACGGCACTTATACTGAGACACACAAAGGAGACAAGGGATAGAGCTAGGATGGAAATGAAAATAAAGGACAAATAGAGATAGATACTTAAGTGGAAATGAAACACTGCATGTTCTCACTCATAGGTGGGAATTGAACAGTGAGAACACATGGACACAGGAAGGGGAACATCACATACCAGGGCCTGTTGTGGGGTGGGGGAGGGGGGAGGGATAGCATTAAGACATATACCTAATGCTAAATGACGAGTTAATGGGTGCAGCACACCAACATGGCACATGTATACATATGTAACTAAACTGCAGGTTGTGCACATATGCCCTAAAACTTAAAGTACAAAAACAAGTCATCAAACAGGTGGTAATTTTAAAACATGGCTTTTCCAGGCAGCAAATTTTCTGAATGTATCGCAAAAGAAGATAAATTGTGTGTCTATGTAGATCATGTCAATGAAATAAACAATAAAGGTTACTTATTGGAATATTGAAAGTGGTTGATAATAAATTAATTATTTATATTTATGGTAAAAGCAATAAACTTGATTTTTAGGGGGTTCAATGACTTCCTGAAAATATCCTCTCACAGATTTTCTCAGAGCGTCTAGTTGGCAAAAGCACAGCTCCAAATAGCTATTTCTGTCAATGTCTACAGAACATTTACAGTTCGATTTCCAAAAGTTTCCATTTCTACTGACCTTACAAATTTGTAAAATGAATGCCCACCAGGAAAAAATATTAAGTGATAAAATTAATTGGATCCTACAAGTGAAAATATAGGCAAGGAAAATCTTCCTTCTTAATGAATGATTTTTATGTCTCTTCCTTCTTGTCCTTCTAGGTAGAGCAACACTCTGGAGACCTTCTTTTGAGGCATTTCACCACCAGAGTAAGTGTGATGTATGACTAATTAGTCCACCCACAGGGAGCTGGTGAAATTAAATTGGAAGTTATTTCTTAACTGGCATATCTTGGAGTAAAATTCATCTAATAATAGCTTTCATAAGAGAGCATAAGCTTAAAAGACAACATTTTTCATTCAACTTTACCAAACAAAGTGCAAATTTAGGTGTCCAGTTGTGAAGTTTGGTTGTGTGTGGATTGTACAGTGAAGGTACCAGTGGACAACAGTTGCTCATCAAGCAAGTTTATACAAAAGCTTTTGGACAAGTCCAACTCTAGATAAAATTCTAAAGTATTTCATGCTTGTGTTCAGAGTTTCTTTTTCTCTCTCCAAGGTAACACACATATCAAAAGACATATGGGTTGTGGGTAGAACTTCCTAAAATTGCTGGTGAGAAGTGTGCCATGCATAAACATACTTCACTAGCTTGAATTTTCTGTTAGTCTCACAGGAAACAATTACAATCCTGTATGTTTTTCTATCTCCACACACTCCTGAACATAGAAAGACCAAGTAACATCCTCGGTTAAGATGTGTACAGGTTACAAGACATGTCTAAATATATTCACCAAGAGGTTTATTATTTTAACAGTGGCATTCACTAAATCAGTTGTCAGTGTAGCATTACTCAAGGAATAAGCAGGGTCTTTAATTTATCAAAGTTTGGAGTCCACCCCAAGTTGGATCACTGAAGCACATAACTATAGATAAGGTCACTCAAAAACACAAATCCAGGTAATAAATATTCAGTAGTAGTTTATATGCATTTAGCAATTTGAATGCTGGGAAATGTAGCCCAGAAAATCAATCGACATTGAACTATTAAAGAGGCATTCATGGCACCTGCACTTTGAATCTCTTCAGACTCAGGTTAAACAGGAGACACGGTAGCTCATGTATACTGCAAAAACCCTTCCTCTTTCCCTTTTTATCTATGAACCTACCCTTTTCAATGTTATCTAGATGCCTGAAGGTATGAATACCCTTGATCTTAGTAAAAAATGGTACCACCCATCAGCAAAATCTCACTGATCAGTGTCTATGTTACCTCACTGAGTTAGCCTTTTGTGTTGTTGTGGCCCAGGATGACAATGTTGACAGAATCCAAGCCAGTAGTTGGAAAGTTAATGTTGGATACGTCTTTGACAATTGATGGAATGACCTGAAATCAAATGTGAGGCAGTGGAGACACAAGAATGCTATTCAGGCAGTGAGTGATCTGTGGAGATACTAAATGAAATATCTGGAAGGAATTGTAATCTTGCAACTATGCTTTTATGTGTTTTTTGACGTAAACAGTTTCTATTTATGGTGGAGCTGCAGTGTTCATTTCCCATGAAGTTCCCATAGTGTTAACTAATACAGTCATGTGTCACTTAATGACAGGGGTGTGTCTGAGAAATGCATTGCTGGACAATTTTATTATTGTATGAACATCATAGAGTTTACTTACACAAACCTAGATGCTATAGCTGATTACATGCCTAGCTTAGGTGGTATAGCCTATTCCTCCTAGGCTACAAACCTGTGCAGCATGTTACTGTACTGAATACTGTAGGCAATTGTAACACAACAGTTAAGTATATCTATACTTACTTATATCTATACAGTAAGTGTATACATGTCTAAACATACAAGAGGTACAGTAAAAGTACAGTGTTATGATTTTACTGCACCACTGTCATACATGTGCACTATCCTTGACCAAAATGTTGTTATGTGATGCATGATTGTAACAAAAGAATTAATTAAATATAATATTGAAGTGCCTATTGAGATTTCAATGAAGAAAGGAATATTTGTAAATTCTGATTACCTTAAGTGGGAATTGACTTTCTTCCTGTTTCCATGGCTGTTCTTGTGAAAGAGCATAGCTTTCCAAAGACCTGAAATCTCTGACAAATCTTGCAATTCTCTATTGCCTGCATTATGAAGGTCACCTGGTGTCAAATGAGGCAAAATGGTAGATTATAAAGACCTGTACTTTATTGTCAGTTCCTAAACATAGCAAGCATTGGTCTATCTTGAACATTTCTGCCGTTATAAACGAGCCTTGGGTCATGATTTTCTGCCTTTTTATCATAGACAAGATTTAATTTAGGAGATGTCCTTTTAATGTGTAATGTGAATAGTAAGTGCCACTTATGAAGCCTATTTTCTTCCAGCCATTTTAATTGTCAAATCTGTCCAGTCAAGATGCATTGTTAGAGGCTTCACTGACAACACCGTCTGTGTGTGTGTGTGTGTGTGTGCGTGTGTGTATACATACATATGATTGAGCAGGATTTATTGTAAGTCAAAACAGTCTCAAATTTCTTAGGACAATACAGCTTCCTTAGCCATTCCCTTGGAGCTCTGAGTTGAGGAGCTGGTGATGTGTATTTCTTTTGCATGTTCTCCACATTATCCCTATGCAGGCCTTCCATGGGCTTGGTTTTTGAACCAGTGATGAGGAAGATCATTAGAACTGTCGTTCTCAAAAAGCTTCCTCCATTCTTCTGTATAAGCAATGGCAATTTTCCCAGACCAATATTTCTTCTTTTGAAATGGTAAATTTTGAATATTAACTGGTTAGTATAATCCCATAAAATAACAAAGTTTGAGCCCTATGATCTGTGTTTTAGGCTCAAGTTGTGTTTTATGCTAAATCATCATTTACTCCTTGTATGATCTTTTTTTTTTTTTTTTTTTTGAGACAGAGTCTCACACTGTCACTCAGGCTGCAGTGCAGTGGCACAATTTTGGCTTACAGCAAGCTCCACCTCCCAGGTGCACACCATCCTTCTGCTTCAGCCTCCTGAGTAGCTGGGACTACAGGTGCCCGCCACCACACCCGGCTAATTGTTTTTTAAGATTAAGGGCGAAATAAAAGCTGCTCCCCTATGTTACATTCATAAATCAGAATTATTAAAGCAAGCTATTTATTTATTAGAAACACATACTCCAAATTTAGCATCTAAGACATTACAGCCTTTGAAGAGACATCAATTTACTTTTTAGGGTCTATAGCTATATTTGTATTCATGTTATTGGTGTCCATATTTCATTAGATGTTCTGGGTAAATTGATAAATGAAAATAATGTATGTGATAAGGAGAACGACCTAGGCCTCCTGGAGGGCCCCTTACAACTCAGCTGGTGTTAGCAGAAATGCCTGGGTGTAACAGTGAGAAACAACTTTTCAAAAGTGTTGAGCAATTTTTCAGGCAGAGGAATATGTATACCAATCCAGGCATCAAGAAAAGTGGAGGTCAGTTAAAAGATCAGGGTGTGATTACATTTTTTTTTTTAGGTTTCTACTGAGAGAAAATATAACACTCAGTTATTATTTTCTCTGCATACCTCTGGTTATTTTGTCACAACCTTTTATGTAAGCTACTACCAAACACTGGGTTATCCAAGATCTATGGGTCGTATTCAATATTTTCTTTTCCCTCAACTACTAACACATTTGATTCCCTTTGTAACTTTCTCTCCTATTTCTCCTTTCAACCTGTTTTCTCCAACCACACTGAGTTAATAAGCCTCCTATATACTCTCATAACCTGTTTTATCTAAAGAGATTTCCTTTTTCTACTATTATACCCATCTCATTCCCTAATTTATTTATTCTTATTTCTCTCTCTATTTTTTATTCTTTTAGGTATAGCTCATGTCTCATGACTTTCAAAAAGTTTTTCTTCTGATATTCCCAGCTCGAATTAGGTACATCCCAATCAGTTTCCTTAGACTTACAACTCTGCAAATTATTGGCTTGCAACCTGTCTTAGGCTGGGAATTAGCTCCTTGTAGGCAGGGGCTAGAATTTATTTACTCTTATGTCCATAATGCCTGACACAGGAACTATTCTCACATACAAATTGTAGGGCCATAATTCCTGAGAACATATGTACATTGTGGTGACTCATAAAGGCTTGAAATAAATTTTTAAAATGATTAATTGGGAAGTCCATGAACTTGACATCTTGATGTAGAAGAAAAGCAAGGGCAGATGAAGAAGTTATACACGATACTTGAAATACCAGAAGAATATAATCATAGAGCAATAAATTAATCCTAGATTTTTAGATGTGAAGAAGTTCTGAGAAATATTTGAAGACATGGCTCTAGGGATGAGTACATAACAGAGACCATTAGCCAGAGTCAGAGCTTTTCAGAGTGAAGAAATTGCATTGCAGGGGGAAAGACTGTTGTATACTAAATAGAAATTGTCATTAAATAGAGACTAAGAGGCTGATGATCTGTGGATGACAGACGCAAAAAGGTGTGGAGATAGAGGTAAATGCCATAATCTTCAAAGAAGATATTTTTGTGCCAGAAAGAAATAATAGATCTAGAACGTAATAAAAGATAAATAGTTAACTACATTGTAATGTGGTCTGAGAACTCACTGAAGGCATAGCCATTGATATTAACTTCCACTTCGCTTCCAGACAAAAGATTTTAAATATCTTAAAAATTCCATTTGATATTGTATGATTCATCAAGACAGAAAGTAAAGTTGTAGTTGCCCTGGGAGGGCGGGGAATGGGGAGTCACTTTTTAATGGGTACAGGATTTCAATTTTACAAGACAAAAAGAATTATGGAGATGGGTGGTGGTGATGCTTGCACAACATTGTGAATACATTTAATGACACTGAATTGTATACTTAACAGTAGTTAAGATGCAAATTGTTGAGTGTGTTTTGCCACAGTTAAAAAACGGAAAACAATAGTATTTGAAGATATAGCCCATTTCATCTGGTAGCTAGCTGTATGTGTCTGCTCAGCTGTGGATAGATATTTATGCTGTTTCTGAACTGGAGGTTACTGGTATTCTCTAAGGTATAGGAAAATTGATCTTATGTGGCTAACTGAGGTGGATATAGTTGTATCAGTCAGACAGTAATGATATAATCATGATAGATTACATTTAACACAACTTACATGTGTTATACTTTAGAAAACACTTCATAGATATTATTACTTCATACCACTTTCCCCTTACATATTTGTCTCTCCTTTCTCTGATGACTTCAGAAAATGTCTCTTCCACACTACTCAATTCATCTCCTTATTTTGTCAAAACTTTAAGTCTCAGAGTCTCCAAAAAAAAATTGCAGACAAGTCTCATCAGCTTTCGGTCATTGATTAATCGATATCCTTAGAGGCTTCCCCTTCTCAATTTAACATAGCTTCCAAATACACTTGCCAGTAAAACAAAGTTGTTTATATGGTTTTGTATTTCTTCCTGCTGAATTATGAACATTTTTTCATATTGACATTGATTTCCATCTGGCCATGAAATACTCAAGGTGAAGACAATGAAACAAAATTGTTAATATTTATCAAGAGCCAGGTACTGTTTTCAGTGTCCTAGAAGCATAAACTAGTGTAATGCTCACCAGCTCATATGAGAGGCAAAAATGGATGAAACTATAAAACCAAGACACAGAGAGTTAAGGGAAATTTCCCAAGATCACACAGCCACTGAGGATATGAACTAGATTTTGACTTCAGGCTATTTACCCCAGAACCTGTGCTTTCAACCATCATTTGTACTGCTTCCCTAAATTACACTTGACTACACTGTGACATCAAATTTCACCTATGACACTGATTATCTGGGGAACTTTGCAACTTATTCTGAATATAACTCAGTTTTCTTTTCTGTACAGAGATAAAGTCAGTATATACTCCATAGATTCGTTATAAGGATTATATGAAATGACACATGAGAAGGCTTTAAAAGGACTTGGAAAGCAATAAGCTTTTTTGTTTTCAATCATTTTTCAATAGGTTATCAGTGTTGTGAATGGTTCATGAAAAATGACTTTGGGCTCAGTGAGTAACTGAAATGTTGTTGCTTAATAGTGTGTTTAATATTAATATAATAGTAACAAATGTCGTTATTGTTGAGTAATAGTTATTTGGCTTTTCACTGCTTTTCTTTTCTAGTGTTTTAGTCAGAGACTTCTTAAGTCCCCTCAAGTGTGTACACATTTCTTAAATTTGTTGGAAAGTACCAAATTTAAGATATCTTGAATTTTTCTTCTTCCTTAGCAAACACTAAATTCCATCACAGAGCAGAAAAAGGGCTCTGTTATTGTCGGTACAATGGTTTAATATTCACTTTTATTCCCTGTATCATAGTTCTGATTTAATTGCTATTTAGAATAAAACTTGTTCCTTATTATATGCATTCATAATTATAAAATTTTTGTTTTAATGTCTTCTACACATATACTGTGCTTTTCTTTATTTCCTTATATCTTTTACTGTTTCATGATCCTGGTATTTGAAATCTCATTAAATGTTGTTTGGGGATTTGCTGGGAATGTCATCTACATAGTAATGTCTCAAGTTTGTAGCATCTTTAAAACATAATAGGAGATGGAATTCACAGCAGAGTAATAAGCCTCCCGCTTTAGGCAATGTATTTCTGATTGGTATGACTTTGTTCCCAGAGGGCAGTTAGCAACACAATATTAAGACTATGTGTACAAGGAAAACAAATTTTTAAAATCTCCTTTAAAAAAAACAGTTCCCTATCCTAACCAGTATCATGCACAGAATCCGTTTCCACCTCTTCATATGGAAGCAGCTCTGGGTGGACATCTAGAAAGTTGGATAACTATTTATCACATATGATCTGTAAAGGGAGAGATTTACAAGAAAGTGTTAAATTTAATCCATAGGAAAGCAAAGTCAAAAATCAATGAATTTTCCATTTGTAGTTTTCCCTAGGGGCTCCACTCTCAAGATGGCTTATATGAGTTAGAATTAATTGACTAGGCACAATTGTTTGTTAGTGACATAAAAGCAAGGTGAGTATTTCTGCTTTATGAGTCCAAGCACAGGGACACTTGGTTTTCTTTGGAAGGATATCATAAAGGCAATGTTTATGAGTAATCCCTCATTGTCTTTCCTTCTGTAGCATTCAATGGAATGTACTATAATTTAGAAATGAAAACTACTTAAAGACCACTTGCTAAGTTTCATGTATTTCAAATTCTCAGATCCTGAGTGTTTAAATATGCCTATATTTCTTCATGAAAAAAAACATAATCTTTGCCAAGTTAGAAAAAGAAAAAGTCATATTCCCATTTTTATCTAAATGTAATCAGAAATTTGGACAGTTTTTAGCCTTCAATACATTATGTAATTTGGGTAACAGGCTGAATAAAAGTAAGGAACTTCAGTTAAATTCAGAGAGAAGCTAGTAATTATTTCTAAGACTCAAATGTATAGAACAGATCTCTGATATTAAGGGTAAAACCCTCAAAGGTGACCCAAAATGGGTAATTGTGGGATTATTTTGGGAGGAATCATCATAGATTCTTACTGCTATAAATACAGTCAAATGTCAGATAAATATACTCCACTGAAATGTTTTCTAGGAATAATGTTGGAACCAATGTTGATAATTTTGAAAGTCATGGAGAGGATTTCAGATGATATAAGTCGGGCAACTATCCCAGGTTTAATAAATAAGCAAATGGTGAGTTCCAAAAATGCTGTATCAATGAGCCTCATATTGATCCTGAACACAATTTCAGGAAGGTCCATTAAATGGGTCTTTGGAGAGCACTTAGGATAAAAGGCTGGCAGCAGAGATTCACTAAGAGCAACGGTGCCAAGCTTGCCTCTTTGACATTGTTATCTGACTGATAAAGGTAGGCTATAGCGGTACACAATACAGATATTTCCAGGGTAAAGCTGTTGAGCTGCTGTAATTTTCCTTGCCTCTTCACTATCTTCTCCTATAGTTGACTCCCAAGGAAAAGATAGCTGACTTTTAATCTAGAAATGTATGTTAATTGGCAAAAACAAACAAATGAAACCATAAACTATCCTATAGGCTTCTCTCTGCTCAGTTATTAGATCATATGAATGTGCCCTTAGGAAACACAGAAGACCCACAATACTATAGAGATAAATTTCTTACATTCTCTGCTGTTTAATGCTCTTCAAAAGACTTACCATACTTCACTAATTTGATTACCAACTACTTGAACACAGGGACCAATGTGCTTATTAAAAATTTTGCATATTATGAGGGCATTAACTTTTAAGTGTTCGATTGTTAAGACAATGCATATTATTATAAACCATAGAAGGCACACTTATTACCTCCTTAAGAACCAGTCTCTATTTCTCTGTTTCATAGATCTCCAAGGTCATAGAGGGATTGGACATTTGTGTCTTCAATTGGCCCTCTTCAGCCCTAGGATAAATAGTGATTAATCTAAGCCAATGGTTTTCGGCTCTGTCTGAGCCAATGCCTCTACTTCATAAGAAATTCTTCAAAGACCCCTTCGCTATTCTAAACTATTAGTGAGAACACAATGTATGCATTCAAGTTGTTGAAAATATTAATGTTATGCTGAAGCTAACAAAGGAGAAATAATTTACTGTCAATATATAATCCAAAATGTATATAATTGTGCCAGAACATTTACATATCAAATACAATAGAACATAATGAAATTTTCATATCTTCACCCATACTTTGAAACATTGTAAATAAAAAGCTACAAATATAGTTTCATTGAATAACCAAATTCCAAAACTGCCATTTCTATTGTTGACATGATTGATCTGCATTGGTAAATGTAATAGATATTTCTGTTTGGCCCTTGTCCCCTGTTATACTCCCCTATTTACTGGCTTTTGTCCAAGTGGAATGGTCCATATTGAATATCTCAATGGGTTCCCTTGCTCATTGCCTTCTATGCATGTTCATGAGATTAAAGGGAAGGAGGAAATGAGATTGGGGGTTATTGCCTAAACTCCCTCTCTGCTAGGTCTCCTTGACCAATCTTTTTCATAAGAAAATTAGTGTTTCCTTGTGTGATAAGGGCAGTTTACTCCCCAGAACTCTGCCTACTGCTACTAACCCAGAGTTATTGTGGGGTGTGATTTCTGTGATTCCTTCACCCTTCTCCCCTGACATTTTCGTAAGTAGTCTCTTTGGAAATAAACCCATATTAAATTATCTTAGTTTGTGTGTGTTCTATTTTTCCTATTGAGACTCTGAAATGAGTATCTAAATGAAAAAATCTACCGTCTTTTCTCATATACATAGTAGTTTCATTCTTGCAAAATTCATGGCATATTAAAACCATGCAAAAGTACTTGGCACTTAGGCAGTTACATTTGGGATTGTATAATTAAACAAAGCAGGTTATTCACCTTCATTACATTAGAAAGTCATTCAGGACATACAGCAATCCTTAATTAGGAGCGACTATCCCATGTTACTGGACATATGGCATCCCTGTTTTCCAATCCTTAAAGTTTTTCCTTAAAGTTCCAAAATGTCATCACTTATTATTTCCTGCCATTGAATTTTGTCACATGAAGTTGTAAGGCTGGGAATGCCATAGCCATCTTGAAAACATAGGTAGAAAGATAAGAGAATCACGAAGAAGTGGATCATGTTGAATTAACTAAGCATTGATACCATCTATTTGTTGTGCGATTTGGTAAAAGTTGCTCCTTGTTTTTTTCTTCAGTTAGTTGACTATTCTGTTACTTGAAGCTAAAAACTTTTTTTTCTTTTCTTTCTTTCTTTTTTTTTTTTGACAGAATCTTACTCTGTTGCCCAGGCTGGAGTGCAATGGCATGATCTTGGCTCACTGCAACCTCTGCTTGCCTAGTTCAAGGAATTCTCACACCTCAGCCTCCCTAGTAGCTGGGATTACAGGCACATGCCACCACACTCAGATAATTTTTGTATTTTTAGTAGAGATGGGGTTTCACCCTGTTTGCCAGGCTGGTCTCAAACTCCTGACCTCAAGTGATCTGCCCACCTCAGCCTACCAAAGTGCTGGGATTACAGATGTAAGCCACTGACCCTGTCCAAAAACATTTCAACCAATAGCAAAGCACATTATTTAATTACATTTTTTCAAAAGTTGCCAGTAATTTCAATTAAAAATATTTTATAACATGTTTAATGCAATACAAATGCTTTTCAATGTACAATGGGGTTAAGTCTTGAAAAGCTGATTATAAATTGAAAATACAGTAAGTTAAAAATGTATTTAATACCTCACTTACTGAATATCACAGCTTAGCCTGGCATACCTTTAATGTGCTCAGAACACTTACATCAGCTGACAATTGGGCAAAATCATTGAATACAAAACCCACTTTATAATAAAGTATTGGATATTTTATGTAATTTGTTGAATATTGTACTGAAAGTGAAAAGCAGAATGGTTATATTCTATTCAAAGCTATCACTTTTGCTTCATCATAAAGTAAAAAAAAAATCATAAATTGAACCATTATAAGTTGACCATCAGTGTATATGTATGTGTGTGTGTACCTATATAAACATGTATGTTTATATATATATTTGTGTGCGTATATATCCTCGGTGTGTGTGTATGTGTTTGAGAGTGTGTGTGTGTGTGTGTGTGTGTATGAAATTGTAGGAAAGTAAAATTTCTTATCTTATAGCTATAGCATGTTAACATGTTGGTACCTATCCTCCTGAGATGTAAAATTTTACATGGATAGATGTGTACATTTACAGATGTACACAAAGAGAAACATATTCTGTAGGCTCTTTGTTTTTCCGCAGTTTCATTCAACACTATCTGGTTTATATGGATGATTACATATATAATGCTAGGATGAAAGTTCTTCTCTATAACTTTGAAACTTCCTTGATTATCAACCCTTGGTATATTCTTAGAATAGGATTTTATTTTAGAATTAAGATCCTTGTTTCAGGACTCTAGACTGTTAACACACAGAGCCAATAATTATTCAGAATGGTTGGGTTAGTTCACATTCCCACAGATGAGACATCAAATGTCCAGGCTGCACAGCCTCATTAACACTAGATTTTCTGGACATTTTATATAGTATTTCATCTGATATAGAAAGTAGAATTCTAATTTAATTATGGTTGTTAATTTATTTTTATCTTTTTAGTCATTATGAAAATGTTTAACTATATGTAAAGCTAGGAAAGAGTTTTATTTTTTAAGTTAGTACTTCAGAAATATGTGCGATACTTAATTTTTAAAAATTAACTCTAAAAGAATCTTGAAATGTCTGTTCAATGAAATAGGATATAAATACTGGTCACATTAGTGAAAAATATTTGTTTAAAATTAAAATATCTGCAGCAATCCTGTAGATATTAATAATTTTTAAAGAATGACATCTTCAAAATATAAATGTTCTAAACTTATAATCAGTTAAATATGTCTCTATTAATACATATAGATACATATATCTAAATAAATTTGAAGACTTCAAATTCCAGGTACAATATAATTTTTTTTCTATCCTGTGATTTGTCATTCAGTATTTTGTAATTTGAACAGAAATATTTTGCCCTAACCACATGTCTGTCTTTTCTCTTACCTAGAAATGTTCTTTTATGCAAAATTGTTTTAAAGGTCAGTTTGCATGTTTGAAAGCATCTTGTAGAATGTTACATAATATATTGCATATTTGGTTACATTGTTTTAACTGTGTAAATATGGTTTAAATCTATGATGCACTTTAGTGCTGATCATGATGCAAAGCAAATTTATCTGTATAAAAGTCTCCTGTTATTTTTTTATTATTATATTTTAAGTTTTAGGGTACATGTGCACAACGTGCAGGTTTGTTAGATATGTGTACATGGGCCATGTTGGTGTGCTGCACCCATTAACTCGTCATTTAACACTAGGTATATCTCCTAATGCTATCCTTCCCCCCTCCCCCCACTCCACAACTGTCCTCAGTGTGTGATGTTCCCCTTCCTGTATCCATGTTTTCTCATTGTTCAATTCCCACCTATGAGTGAGAACATGTGGTGTTTGGTTTTTTCCTTGCAATGGGTTGCTGAGAATGATGGTTTCTAGCTTCATCCATGTCCCTACAATGGACATGAACTCAACATTTTTTATGGCTGCATGGTATTCCATGGTGTATATGTGCCACGTTTTCTTAATCCAGTCTATCATTGTTGGACATTTGTGTTGGCTCCAAGTCTTTGCTATTGTGAATAGTGCCACAATAAACATACACGTGCTTGTGTCTTTATAGCAGCATGATTTATAATCCTTTGGGTATATACCCAGTAATGTGATGGCTGGGTCAAATGGTATTTCTAGTTCTAGGTCCCTGAGGAATCACCACACCGAGTTCCACAATGGTTGAACTACTTTACAGTTCCACCAACAGTGTAAAAGTTTTCCTATTTCTCCACATCCTCTCCAGCACCTGTTGTTTCCTGACTTTTTAATGATCGCCATTCTAACTGGTGTGAGATGGTATCTCATTGTGGTTTTGATATGCATTTCTCTGATGGCCAGTGATGATGAGCATTTTTTCCTGTGTCTTTTGGCTGCAAAATGTCTTCTTTTGAGAAGTGTCTGTTCATTTCCTTTGCCCACATTTTGATGGGGTTGTTTGTTTTTTTCTTGTGAATTCGTTTGAGTTCATTGTAGATTCTGGATATTAGCCCTTTGTCAGATGAGGAGGTCGCAAAACTTTTATCCCATACTGTAGGATGCCTGTTCACTCTGATAGTGGTTTCTTTTGCTGTGCAGAAGCTCCTTAGTTTAATTAGATCCCATTTGTCAATTTTGGCTTTTGTTGCCATTGCTTTTGGTGTTTTAGACATGAAGTCTCTGCCCATGCCTATGTCCTGAATGGTATTGCCTGGTTTTTCTTCTAGGGTTTTTATGGTTTTAGGTCTAACATGTAAGTCTTTAATCCATCGTGAATTAATTTCTGTATAAGGTGTAAGGAAGGGATCCAGTTTCAGCTTTCTATATACGGCTAGCCAGTTTTCCCAGCACCATTTATTAAATAGGGTATCCTTTCCCTAGTTCTTGTTTTTGTCAGGTTTGTCAAAGATCAGATAGTTGTAGATATGTGGCATTATTTCTGAGGGCTCTGTCCTGTTCCATTGGTCTATATCTCTGTTTTGGTACTAGTACTATGCTGTTTTGGTTACTGTAGCCTGGTAGAATAGCTTGAAGTCAGGTAGCATGATGCCTCCAGCTTTGTTCTTTTGGCTTAGGATTGACTTGGCAATGTGGGCTCTTTTTTGGTTCCGTATGAACTTTAAAGTAGTTTTTTCCAATTCTGTGGAGAAAGTCATTGGTAGCTTGATGGAGATGGAATTTAATCTATAAATTACCTTGGGCAGTGTGGCCATTTTCAAGATATTGATTCTTCCTACCCATGAGCATGGAATGTTCTTCCATTTGTTTGTATCCTTTTTTATTTCATTGAGCAGTAGTTTGTAGTTCTCCTTGAAGAGGTCCTTCACTTCCCTTGTAAGTAGTATTCCTAGGTATTTTATTTTCTTTGAAGCAATTGTGAATGGGAGTTCACTCATGATTTGGCTCTCTGTTTGTCTGTTATTGGTGTATAAGAATGCTTGTGATTTTTGCACATTGATTTTGTATCCTGATACTTTGCTGAAGTTGCTTATTAGCTTAAGGAGATTTTAGGCTGAGACGATGGGATTTTCCACATACACAGTCATGTCATCTGCAAACGGACAATTTGACTTCCTCTTTTCCTAATTGAATGCCCTTTATTTCCTTCTCCTTCCTGATTGCCCTGGCCAGAAATTCCAACACTATGTTGAATAGGAGTGGTGAGAGAGGGCATCCCTGTCTTGTGCCAGTTTTCAAAGGGAATGCTTCCAGTTTTTGTCCATTCAGTATGATATTGGCTGTGGGTTTGTCATAGATAGCTCCTATTATTTTGAGATAAGTCCTATCAATCCCTAATTTATTGAGAGTTTTTAGCATGAAGGTTTGCTGAATTTTATCAAATGCCTTTTCTGCATCTATTGAGATAATCATGTGGTTTTTGTCTTTGGTCCTGTTTATATGCTGGATTACGTTTACTGATTTTCATATGTTGAACCAGCCTTGCATCCAAGGGATGAAACCCGCTTGATCATGGTGGATAAGCTTTTTTATGTGTTGCTGGATTCGGTCTGCCAGTATTTTATTGAGGATTTTTGCATCAATGTTCATCAAGGATATTGGTCTAAAATTCTCTTTTTTTTGTTTTGTCTCTGCCAGGCTTTGGTATCAGGATGATACTGGCCTCATAAAATGAGTTAGGAGGATTCCCTCTTTTTCTATTGATTGGAATAGTTTCAGAAGGAATGGTACCAGTTCCTCCTTGTACCTCTGGTAGAATTCGGCTGTGAATCCATCTGGTCCTGGACTTTTTTTGGTTGGTAAGCTATTAATTATTGCCTCAATTTCAGAGCGTTTTATTTGTCTATTCAGAGGTTCAACTTCTTCCTGGTTTAGTCTTGGGAGAGTATATGTGTCAAGGAATTTATCCATTTCTTCTAGAATTTCTAGTTTATTTGTGTAGAGGTGTTTATAGTATTCTCTGATTGTAGTTTGTATTTCTGTGGGATCGGTGGTGATATCCCCTTTGTCAATTTTTATTGCATCTATTTGATTCTTCTCTCTTTTCTTCTTTATTGGTCTTGCTAGTGGTCTGTCAATTTTGTTGATCTTTTCAAAAAACAGCTTCTGTATTCATTGATTTTTTGAAGGGTTTTTTGTGTCTCTATTTCCTTCAGTTCTGCTCTGTTCTTAGTTACTTCTTGCCTTCTGTTAGCTTTTGAATGTGTTTGCTCTTGCTTCTCTAGTTCTTTTAATTGTGATGTTAAGATGTCAAATTTATTTCTTTCCTGCTTTCTCTTGTGGGCATTTAGTGCTGTAAATTTCCCTCTTCACGATGCTTTGAATGTGTCCCAGAGATTCCGGTATGTTGTGTCTTTGTTCTTGTTGGTTTCAAAGAACATCTTTATTTCTGCCTTCATTTCCTTATGTACCCAGTAGTCATTCAGGAGCAGGTTGTTCAGTTTCCATGTAGTTGAGTCGTTTCGAGTGAGTTTCTTAATCCAGAGTTGTAGTTTGATTGCACTGTGGTCTGAGAGACAGTTTGTTATACTTTCTGTTCTTTTACATTTGCTGAGGAGTGCTTTACTTCCAACTATGTGGTCAATTTTGGAATAGGTGTGGTGTGGTGCTGAAAAGAATACATATTCCGTTGATTTGGGATAGAGAGTTCTGTAGATGTCTATTAGGTCTGCTTGGTGCAGAGCTGAGTTCAATTCCTGTATATCCTTGTTAACTTTCTGTCTCGTTGATCTGTCTAATGTTGACAGTGGGGTGTTAAAGTCTCCCATTATTATTTTGTGGGCGTCTAAGTCACTTTGTAGATCACTAAAGACTTGCTTTATGAATCTGGGTGCTTCTGTATTGTGTGCATATATATTTAGGATAGTTAGTTCTTGTTGAATTGATCCCTTTACCATTATGTAATGGCCTTCTTTGTCTCTTTTGATCTCTGTTGGTTTAAAGTCTGTTTTATCAGAGACTAGGATTGCAACCCCTGCCTTTTTTTGTTTTCCATTTGCTTGGTAGATCTTCCTCCATCCCTTTATTTTGAGCCTATGTGTGTCTCTGCAGGTGAGAAGCCTTTCCTGAATAAAGCACACTGATGGGTCTTGACTCTTTATCCAATTTGTCGGTCTGTGCCTTTTAATTGGAGCATTTAACCCATTTACATTTACGGTTAGTATTGTTATGTGTGAATTTGATCCTGTCATTATGATGTTAGCTGGTTATTTTCCTCGTTAGTTGATGAAGTTTCTTCCTAGCCTTGATGGTCTTTACAATTTGGCATGTTTTTGCAGTGGCTGGTACCAGTTGTTCCTTTCCATGTTTAGTGCTTCCTTCAGGAGCTCTTTTAGGGCAGGCCTGGTTGTGACAAAATCTCTCAGCATTTGCTTGTCTGTGGAGTATATTATTTCTCCTTCACTTATGAAGCTTCGTTTGGCTGGATATGAAATTCTGGGTTGAAAATTCTTTTCTTTAAGAATGTTGAATATTGGCCCCCACTCTCTTCTGGCTTGTAGAATTTCTGAGGAGAGATCAGCAGTTAGTCTGATGGGCTTCCTATTGTGGGTAACCTGACCTTTCTCTCTGGCTGCCTTTAAAATTTTTTCATTCATTTCAACTTTGGTGAATCAGACAATTATTTGTCTTGGAGTTGTTCTTCTCGAGGAGTATCTTTGTGGCATTCTCTGTATTTCCTGAATTTGTATGTTGGCCTGCCTTACTAGATTGGGGAAGTTCTCCTGGATAATATCCTGCAGAGTGTTTTCCAACTTGGTTCCATTCTCCCCGTCACTTTTAGGTACACCAATTAGACATACATTTGGTCTTTTCACATAGTCCCATATTTCTTGGAGGCTTTGTTCATTTCTTCTATTCCTTTTTCCCTAAACTTCTCTTCATGCTTTATTTCATTCATTTCATCTTCCATCGCTGATACTCTTTCTTCCAGTTGATCACATCGGGTACTGAGGCTTATGCATTTGTCATGTCGTAGTTGTGCCATGGTTTTCAGCTCCATCTGGTCCTTTAAGGACTTTTCTGCATTTGTTTTTCTAGTTATCCATTCGTCTAATTTTTTTTTAAAGTTTTTAACTTCTTTGCCATTGGTTCGAACTTCCTCCTTTAGTTCAGAGTACTTTGATCTTCTGAAGCCTTCCTCTCTCAACTCGCCAAAGTCATACTCCGTCCAGCTTTGTTCCACTGCTGGTGAGGAGCTGCATTCCTTTGCAGGAGGAGAGGCACTCTGATTTTTAGAGTTTCCAGTTTTTCTGCTCTGTTTTTTCCCATCTTTGTGGTTTTATCTTCCTTTGGTCCTGGATGATGGTGACATACAGATGGGGTTTTGGTGTGGATGTCCTTTCTGTTTGTTAGTTTTCCTTCTAACAGTCAGGACCCTCAGCTGCAGGTCTGTTGGAGTTTACTAGAGATCTACTCCAGACACTATTTGCCTGGGTATCAGCAGCAGTGGCTGCAGAACAATGGATATTGGTGAACTGCAAATGCTGCTGCCTGATCGTTCCTCTGGAAGTTTTGACTCAGAGGGGTACCCGGCCATGTGAGATGTCAGTCTGCCCCTACTGGGGGGTGCCTCCCAGTTAGGCTACTCAGGGGTCAGGAACCCACTTGAGGAGGCTGTCTGCCCATTCTCAGATCTCAAGCTGCATGCTGGGAGAAACACTACTCTCTTCAAAGCTGTCAGACAGGGGCATGTAAGTCTGCAGAGGATATTGCCGTCTTTTGTTGGTCTGTGCCCTGCCCCCAGAGGTGGAGCCTACAGAGGCAGGCTGGCCTCCTTGAGCTGTGGTGGGCTCCACCCAGTTCGAACTTCCTGGCTGCTTTGTTTACTTACTCAAGCCTGAGCAATGGCAGGCGCCCCTCCCCCAGCCCCACTGTAACTTTGCAGTTTGATCTCAGACTTCTGTGCTAGCAAACAGCGAGGCTCCGTGGGTGTAGGATCCTCCAAGCCAGGTGCTGGATATAATCTCCTGGTGTGCCATTTGATAAGCCTGTTGGAAAAGCGCAGTATTAGGGTGGGAGCGACCTGATTTTCCAGGTTCCATCTGTCACCCCTTTCTTTGACTAGGAAAGGGAATTCCCTGACCCATTGTGCTTCCCAAGTGAGGTGATGCCTTGCCCTGCTTTGGCTCATGCATGGTGCGCTGCACCCACTGTCCAGCACTCCCCATTGAGATGAACCTGGTACCTCAGTTGGAAATGCAGTTATCACCTGTCTTCTGCATCACTCATGCTGGGAGCTGTAGACTGGAGCTGTTCCTATTCGACCATGTTGCCTCCATCCTCTAATTTTTAACTTTCAAACGATTAGATACATTTACCCTCTTCTGAATTTTAATTCCTGATAGAAAGATTGTGAAATC
Organism: Homo sapiens; assembly: GCF_000001405.40. Classification (NCBI taxonomy): domain Eukaryota; kingdom Metazoa; phylum Chordata; class Mammalia; order Primates; family Hominidae; genus Homo; species Homo sapiens. Next base: position 8,418 of record NT_187377.1, on the reverse strand, counting down.
TCAAGAGGATAATGAATCAGCTTCTGATTATATTCTGGAATTACCATTTGATCACCCATCCAAGAATGCGTATTCACTTTCCTTTACATTACACACATGCATAATACCATGCTGAGTGATGCTGGAAAAAGTGAGTCTTCAGTAATGCCCTCATGAAATTACAGTCTCACTACACCAAGGTATTTTCTTTTTAACACTTTTTTTCTTTTCTGCTGTGAATATGTGCCTTCTAAGAGATGAACGACTGGGAAAAACTGAAAAAGAACCTTCATCTAATTCAGTAACTACCTTTTGTATCTTCTAAGAATTTTTATCTCCAGAAAGATCTAATCTTCATTCCTTTACAAGCTTTATTTCTCTCTCCTTTCCAACATCAGACTTTTCTCTGTTTGTTTTCTATACCTTTTTTAGAGATGCCTACAATAGAAAAAAACTATGACATATTCAATACATCAGAAAAGTTTGCATTGCCATAGATAGGAATGAATTATCTGTTTATAAAGAAAAAAACAATAAAAATATGAAGCAAGAAAGCACAGAAGGTAGTAACCACATTTAGATGTTTATCATGGAATCATCTTTATAATCCATCTGTTACAATTCCACAGAGCAAATTCCAAGTAATTGTGAAGTTTCCCCTCATTTTATAGGTTTGGTCTTATAAGGCATACAACACAAATTTTAATTACTTTTCTTTTTGGTATTTGGATCTTAATTTGGTCAAGTGGCCACTGGGTAGATGATGGAGCCTCTTGAGACATACAGTCTTCTTCTAGCTTTGTTGATGTGAATATTACTGTGTAGTTTTCATTCACTTATTATTTTACAAGGCATGCTTCGTTAAAAATATGTCAGCATCTCATTGACAAATCACAAAATTTAAAAGGCACAAGAAAAAAAACAATTTATTTGAAACATTCCTGTGTAAAAGTAGTCACCACTCTTACTATTCTTCAAATATTTTTATTATATTTAAACACAAGCCTAGTTTTATCTCGAGTGTCTGACCTTGATGATATTGTACACTTTAAACTTGGAAAAAATTGAACTCTTTTGGAAATTTCCTACAGACCAGCTTTTCTAGATGCCAAGTGCCTTGTTTCACCTGCGGTTATGACAGCAAATTGGGTTCTCAGGGATTCTGGCCTCTGGCATCATCTCAGTTGTTTATAATTGAAGTTGGCTCTGACGAGAACTCAGCTTAGATGCATGGTTAGACTGCTGGGCTTAAGGCTGGCCTGCCAGGAGGTTGCATTGAGGTGTAACTAGGCAAAGAAAGAAGGAGTTTATTGAGGCACTACTGACAATAGCAAAGACTTGGAACCAACCCAAATGTCCAACATTGATAGACTGGATTAAGAAAATGTGGCACATATACACCATGGAATACTCTGCAGCCATAAAAATGATGAGTTCTTGTCCTTTGTAGGGACATGGATGAAGCTGGAAACCATTATTCTCAGCAAACTATCACAAGGGGGAACATCACACACTGGGGCCTGTTGTGGGGTGAGGGGCTAGGGGAGGAAAAGCATTAGGGGATATACCTAATGAAAATGACGAGTTAATCGGTGCAGCACACCAACATGTCTCATGTGTACATATGTAATGAACCTGCAAGTTGTGCACAAGTACCCTAGAACTTAAAGTATAATAAAAAAAAAGAAGGAGGTTGGGCAAAATTACCAACAATCTTCAACTATGAATTTTTATGAGTAGGGGCTTCCCACACCATCAGGCACTCCAAGTTGGAGAAACAAGGGATGTTGAATTGAAAGTTTAATTTTTTAGGCTTGGTAGTCAGATTAGGGAAGTTTTGGGTACAACTTTCCCACTCTAGAGCCCTCTCCCCAACTCACGGCCAATATGGGACATGGGCTCAATGGAAAAGAGTGCCGAGATCAATTAGAAATATCCATCATGAACATAGGAGGCAGGCATTCTGGCCAAGGGGTGCGTCTTCCCACTCTGTAATCCAGAGTGCGATTTCTTCTTGCTATCTCTCCCTCCATAAATAAGTGTTGGGTGAAGGACAAGCTTGTTACAACTGAGGATGGAATGAGATTCTAGCAGAATTGCAAAATGAACTGAAAGCCACAAAACTGTTCCTCTGTGAACCAGCAGAGAGATCTGTGGAAGGCAAAGGAATAGGAGCCAAGAGGCCAGATAACATTCCTGCTTCCCTTACATTGTGAGAGTGAAATTGTCAGCAACCTATATCAGTAATTAACCAGAGGCTTTTTAGAGAGTAAGACTTCTGATAGATACCTCAATAGCTGAAGTTGCTCTTCAGTACTGCACATAACCTGTGGACAGATTTTCATCATTATTAATTCATTTATTCAACAGATAGATATTAAATTCAAGGCATAGTTCTAAACTATGCAGTCAATTACAAAAAAATAATGAAGGGCATTAGCTGTGCCTCATAGGATGTTAAAACTCTAGGTGCTGAATGAGACAAATAGGGTTCCCACATCAAGTGCCTGGGCTCCTGTTATAACCTGGACTGTGCTTCCAATGACTTCTCCTGTTTCTGTTTTGGTAAACCCATCATTTGGCTTAGTCCCTATCCTTGCCATGCTCACCCAGAGTAGGTGGACCTCCTTGACCATAACTACAGGCATAGATCTTTGATTGTTTCTTTTCAAATGTTTGCTTACTTTAGAGCTGCAGTCAAATGTTGTTTGGACTATAAGACTCTGAGGGTGTGTGTGGTTGAAACTGTCTTGAGACTCAAAGAGCTATTGAGGAAGGGATTTGGTAGCTGAACTCTTTTGAAGTTTTTCTCTGTCTCTCACACATCTGGGGCTCAATAGCTTAATATATTGTTTAATTTCTACATCAATGATAGTTTAATAGGCATTCATGCAAATCAGTTCTGCTGGGAGTTTATTATCCTACTCCAATAGCAAGTAATGCATTCCTTAAATTTAGTGTACGTATAAATTCTACATGGTAAGTGAAGCTGTCTTTATGAATTGCTGCTATAGAATATACTAGATTGTGTAGGTTTTAGTACAATCCAGGTAATTATCAAGCCTTTGTAATATTTTCAGGAAAGGGATCCTTTCACTTCAGTTTATGGAACTTGGAAAGTTTTCAATGGCCACCCACTTGTTAGATCATAAACTTAATTCTATGTATCTGAATTTATTTTTCTATTTATAAATTTATCTGGATGTTTTCTCAAAGGTTTCCCAGATTAAAAACCTATGGCTTTGTAAAATTAAAACAGAAGTAATAAGAATTGTGTTAAAAAACAGAATCAGGCCAAGCATGGTGGCTTATGCCTGTAATGCCAACTCTTAGGGAGGCCGAGGCGGGAGGATCATTTGAGGTCAGGAGTTCAAGACCAGCCTGGGCAACATAGCAAAACCCCACCTGTATTAAAAAAATACACAAATTAGCTGGCGTGGTGGTGAATGCCTTTATTCCCAGCCACTCAGGAGGCTAAGGCAGGAGAATAGCTTGAACCCCGGAGGCTGAGGTTGCAGTGAGCCAAGATAGAGCCACTGCATTCCAGCCTGGGTGACAGAGTGAGATCCTATATTAAAAAAAAAAAAAGAAAAAAAGAAAAGAAAAAGAAAGAAAACCAGAATCATACAATGAGAGAGGTTGTATAGCCCTTTTAATTGTCCATAATGGATACATTTCTTTTTCTGTGTAATAGTTTATCAGCATGAAAATTTTCTTTTTCTGTGTAATAGTTTATCAGCATGAAAAAAAAGAGTCACTGAACACTGATAATTTTATTTCTCTCTTTCTCTCTTTTTTTTCCTTTTTTTGGAGATGAAGTCTCACTCTGTTGCCCAGGCTGGAGTGCAATGGCAACGTCTCTGTTCACTGCAACCTTCACATCCTGGGTTCAGGCGATTTTTCTGCCTCAGCCTCCCAAGTAGCTGGGATTCCAGGTGCATCCCGCCATGCCTGGATAAGTTTTTGTATTTTCAGTAGAGACGGGGTTTCATCATGTTGGCCAGGCTGGTCTCAAACACCTGACCTCAAATGATCTGCCCACCTTAGCCTCCCAAATTGCTTGTGATGATTTTCATTTAATGGTGTTCTACAAAGTGAGTTTAGGCAATGAAAGCGCACATGTCATCTATAGTTTACCAGAAAGTAGTACCAGTCACCAGCATTGAAGCATACCCCTAACACTGGAAAATTTCTTCAGCAGCCAGAATTAATCTCAGATTTTGAGACTGGAGCAAAGACTAATTTGGTATGTGTTCATTCAGATTAGTAAATCTCCATGGTGTTTGAACTGTATAATATCAAATCTAAAATAAGTCAAAAGAGTTGAACAATGTCTCATCTCTGAGAAAAAAATGCATTATTTTCAACAGATTTAAGACTGAATTTAAAATCCAACTGCCTATTCTAGTGTATGTTTCTCTAGAATAAGGCCAAGCCCTACAAATTCTGGATAGTGTCCTCCAAGTTGTGTTTCAGTGATAATTGATAAATCTATGGTTTAGATACATATGGAATTCCATATAATTCTAGCTCCAGCCTTTGTGTGTAAAAATTGGCAGTGATCATGGCCTTAATGGAGGCATGTGGTTAATTGGAATTTTCGGTACCAAAAGTCGTCTTCTTAGTAGTTTATCAGGGTACCCTATAATAGTATCCATAACTCATTGCCCACTTGTCTGTTTTGATTTCTTTTTTAAAAAGACAATTTTAAACTTAGAGGATTTGTACCTCAAGTCACATATGTGGCACATTTATAAAATAATCATGCCTTTGCATATTTTTCCCTTGATATCTTAGCTATATATCCAAGCCATTTATGTTTTTTAATTGCCACAAATATTGCACTGAAATAGAGCACTAGTTGCAAAAATGCCTGGTATAACATTTCTTCTTGTTCTTGAAAGTTATTTTAATACCCCATGTTTAAGATATTCCTAGACAACTATATGTAACTATAATTATTTCTGCTAGGTAGAAACATCTTTGTGGTCAACATTTGTGAAGCGCCTTGTAAATAAAAATATGCTTGAGTAGAAATAGTATTTTGTAAATATATCCCTAAATAGAGCTACTGATTTTACCAAGAATTAAAGACTCCAAACTCTGTCTTTGTCTTTCAAATTAAGTTTATAGGATCATCTCATTACAATGAGCCAAAAGCCTATCTGATCATTAATGAGATAATTTTGACACTTCCAAATGACACAGCTAATTTGTACTAGGTTTTTGAAGTGCAAATTACATGTTTCTGTTTAAATAATGACAGTAAAATATGGACACTATCTAGTCACAGTCTATATACACAACTACAACATGTCTCTAGAAGAAAAGTTTAATTTTTCAGGTCTCATTCACAAAATGAAGTGTTAATAAGCTGTATCTTTATTCTCACTTTTAAGTAATTTCTTCTTAACCATCGTATAACACTACCAAAGTTTGTATGGAGATAAAATAAATCATGGTGAGAAATCCAGTTCTTTAAAAAATCATTTTACCTTCAATCACTTTTAGGATGTCTATGGTTTCAGAGTAAGGACAAAAACTTATAAACATTGTTAAATTATGCAACTGTTTTTGAAGATGCTTCAAAATTACATTTTCCTTATTTTACAACTAGTTTTCATGTATTCACAAATGAGACACATGAGAATTATTAATGCAAAAGCAAAGCATATCAACAAAGTTTATAATGTAAATGGTTTAGTTAGGAAAGAATGTAATGAGTGAATTATCAAAGCTATTTTATTGGTTCCTAGATTTACCATAGAAGAAAATAAAGCAGCCTTATAAAAATTTCTCAGCACTGAGTCCATTTAAGGTCTTCTTTGTATGCCGTAAGTTCTACAAAATGTTATTGCTGGTAAAAACAGGGTGCCTATCTAAAATTGTCTTTTTGAAGGTTCTCTCTTATTCTTCTTCCCTTCCTATGTGTGCACAGAATACTGTCATTGTCTTGATTGGAACACTGTCTCTCTTTCTCAGAGGGTGTACATTTGTAGAAGGGAGAAAATATTTGTTAATTTTGCTTCCTATAAGATAAGGTCTCAATGGTTGAAGGTCAGTTAACAAACATTTTTTTGTCTTCATACTATTATCTTGGAATTACCAACTGGCTTCTATTTAGATTTTGAATAATGAAAGAAAAGAACTAGCATTTGTTAGAACTTACTGTGTTCCAGAAACTTTATTGATACCATTTCTTCTCATTATCACATTCGTTCTTTCAATTAGTATTATTTTTTTTTCATCTTAATAAGGTGGGACCAGAGGTTTTGTAATATCTACTAACCCACTGTGGACTTCATGGCTTGCAAGAGGAAGAAAGCATGGTGGAACTCAGGTTTCTCTGATTCCAAATTCACGTCCTTTCATGTCTCCATGAAAATTAGAAAAGATAAGTTGGGCTCTATTCTAACAAGAGAAACACAATTTTCCGTCATTTAAATGAATAATTCTTAAACCTCAAAAATAAAACGTAGCAAAACCTCAATTCAAGAGTAGACATAAAGGTTGTGGCATGGGTAGAAGGGACTTATGTCTAGTGACATAGATTTGCTATGCATATCTGACCAAAAATCTCCCTCATGATTTTCAAATAAGATGTATAACTGCATTTAATTAGTGTCACGAATCATTAATATCAGTCTCTGAAAACAGGATCATTAAAAATGATTAAGATTTTCAACAACAAAGATTTTATCTAAATAGTAAGGAAATTATATTAGATGGCTCCATTCCCTGAGCAGTCTAGTTAATAATTCAACTTGTTCAAAGCTATAAAATATGGCAACTTAAAAAATTATGAAAGTTTTTCTAACTTTTTGCTTAAGGTAGTTGGCCATTCTTCCTCTTGGGAATAAGAAGGGCAGATTTTCTGTCGAAGCATTTTGCTATTGTTATTTCAATTTCCATTTATGGAAAATAGATAAAATAGTAATTTTTGTTATAAATTTAAAGTCTAAATGGAAATAATTAAGTATCTCCATTAATTAAGTAAAGATTAATTTTTCAAAAAATAGCATTTACTAAATTCTAATCAATCGATTGACTATTTTTATCCCTGGCTCAATGTAACTCTCTTTGACATACTCTTGTCTTAATTCTAGTTTATGTCAACAATGTGTAATCATAGATGACTCTTTGCCATTTTGATCTCTCAGTTCTATAAACACCTTTGATCTAACGATAATGTTTTCCAACAGAATTATTTCTACTCAAAATTCTGAGATGAAATTTGTGGATTTAGTCTCACCCCAATCAATTTTTCAACTCTCAGGACACCAGATGGTGTCCTACAATTCAATTCAATCCTGAGACTATCTATCTGGAGATAGCATCAGGTCCCACAAGTTCAGGGTTCAGGCCCACAGGACTGCCCCCCCACCATTAGAGAGGAGTTGTGGGCCTCCCATACTCCTGACCAACTGGCTATAAATTAGGACTTCCATGGATTCCTTCCCCAGGTTCTATAATTTGCTAACATGGCGCACAGAACCCAAGAAAGCACTTTGCTTACAGTTACTGTCTGATACAAATCAGGAACTCTCAAATAGAAGAGACACATAGGGCCAGGTATGGTGAAAAGGGGCACAAAGCTGCCATATGACCTCTAAGTATATCATAGTATCACCCTCCCAGCACCTCAGAGGTGAGGGAGGAGAGGGCTGACAGTTTCAACCATCTAGTTATGCCTTCATGTTTCTGGTGTCGAGCACCCACCCTGAAGCTATACAGGTCTCCAGCCACCACTCATGTCATGTCAATAGCATAAACTCAGGTATGGCTAAGAGGGACTTATGACTAGTAAAGGATGGTCTTCTCATCTCTATCAGGAAATTTCAAGTTTTATGAGCTCTGTTCTGTGAACCGGGGAGGAAGACCAAATAGGACATACACTAGACCAGTTGTGCTAACTACTGTGTGCCTCAAAATTGCCTACAGTTGTGTTACAATAAGAGATTGCTGAGACCTGCTATTGGAATTTCAGAATTGGTATATCTGGGGGTGTAATCTGAGAATATGCAGTTCTAGTAAGTTCCCAGGTGATGCTGTTGCTGCTAGCACAGGGACCACACTTCCAGAGGGACTGAGTGAAGCATCGTCGTTACTTATAATAGCAACTTCTCTGTAGTCACAATTTCATTCATCCCATTCTCTGAGCTCCTCCTTTAATCATTCCCTTTCATACGCTGAAATAAAATTTTTCAATCTCTCTGAGACCTCCAAACTATTATTTTGTCATATTCATAATGACCCTTACCTACTGATGTACTCTATTTCCTGTTCTCCTGCCTAAATTCCATGGCCAACCATTCCCAGGAAACTTCAACTTCCTTGTTTCTCTTTCACTTTGCTGAACCTAACCAGGAAAATAACCCTGCTTAGATCCAAATTTCCACCAAATCCCCACATATATTTTAGCAACTAGCTATATGGATC